>NW_009646199.1:0-139087 GCF_000001405.40 Homo sapiens
TCTCTCTGGCTCTCCTTGAGTATTTGCTCTGATGAAACAAGCTAGGGAGGTCCATGTGATCAGGAAGTGAAGGTGGACTCTGGCTAACAGTAAGGAACAGAGCCCCTTAGTCCAAATGTCTTGAGGAACTGAATGCTGAATTACAAGAATGAGCTTAGAAGTGGATACTTCCTGGCTGGGTGCGGTGGCTCACGCCTGTCATCTCAGCACTTTGGGAGGCCAAGGCAGGTGGATTGACTGAGGTTGGGAGTTCGAGACCAGCCTGACCAACATGGAGAAACTCTGTTTCCACTAAAAATACAAAATTAACCGGGCGTGGTGGTGCATTCCTGTAATTCCAGCTACTCGGGAGGCTGAGGCAGGAGAATTACTTGAACCCAGGAGGCAGAGGTTGCAGTGAGCCAAGATCGTGCCATTGCACTCCAGACTGGGCAACAAAAGAGAAACTCTGTCTCAAAAAAAATAAAATAAAAGGTGGATCCTTCCTTAGTTAAGTCTTCAGAAGAGACTAAAGCCCTGCTCTTGCTTCTCTAGTTCTTTTAATTGCGATGTTAGGGTGTTGATTTCAGATTTTTCCTGCTTTCTCACTGACATTTGGATTGTAGCCTATGAAAGACCCTGAAAGGAAGGAACCAGTTAATCCATGATGGGATTCTTCACTCTCAAAAACATTTAGGTACTAAATGTTGTCTTAATCCACAAAATTTTGCAGTATTCATTACACAGAAAAGAAATTAGAGTATTATATCCTCTTCATACAAGAAACACTCAGTAAATATTAGGATAACCATATAAAATTGCCACCTTTGTCAGTCAAAAATCAGTGTTCATTTATATATAAAGTTTAATCCATATTTGTTGAATGGAGTAATAAGGATCTTGCAGGAATATAAATAAGGACAAAAATATTAAAAATGTTTACTGTATTTAAGTAGTTTAAAGTAGTGAAGATAGAACCAGTATAATTTGTCTTTTTCTTTTTAAGTGAGTCCAGCGCCGGGCGCGGTGGCTCACGCCTGTAATCCCAGCACTTTGGGAGGCCGAGATGGGCGGATCACGAGGTCAGGAGATCGAGACCTTCTTGGCTAACATGGTGAAACCCCCTCTCTACTAAAAATACAAAAAAATTAGCCTGGCGTGGTGGCGGGGGCCTGTAGTCCCAGCTACTCAGAAGGCTGAGGCAGGAGAATGGCGTGAACCCAGGAGGCGGAGCTTGCAGTGAGCCGAGATCGCGCCACTGCACTCCAGCCTGGGCAACAGAGGGAGGCTCTGTCTCAAAAAACAAAAATTAAAAAAAAAAAAAAAAGTGAGTCCAGGAAGCGCTGTTTTGAATTGTCACTTTGCCACTTTCTTACAAAGAGATATTTGCTGGAAAAGTTGGCTCTCAAAAATTTGTTTTCCTTTTCCTTTCTTACATCTTAAGAAAAATTGAATAGTTCTAATTATTTTAGAGAATTGTTGTGATAAAATGATAAAAACTAGAGAGCTTATCTAGCTGTCTGCCTAACAGTGATTTTCAGCAAGTGCTTCTTCCCTTCCCAAGGAAAAATATTACTAATTTTACTAAGTATTATAGATATTTGCAGATTTTCCCATATTTTCTGGAAGCTGAATAAAAAAAGCAAACAAAATTGTTGGTATAGATACATTTAAAATATATATAAATGATCTTTTAATACAATATAGTTTTTTACATTAGTTATTTATAATTTTATTTGAAGTCATTTATGTTTGTATCATCAAGACTATACCGTTAAGGAGTTGTTTAATCAATCAATTAGATTTACGGTAAGTATTCCCAGATGGAATCATATTTCAAGGAAAATGATAACCTTAGCTTTGAATAAAAGCCAGATATTTAGGTTAAGAACTAGACCTTTCAGTAACAGCTTCTATGAAATATTAAAAAGGTAGAAGACATTTGTCTTAAATGTCAAGTACGAGATGTACATTTTAGAAACAAATCTTGGTGATTTATAGCTTTTTTTCTATTTTTTATTAACGCAGATATATTAGTAGTTTAAACTTTTACAAGTAATAAAGGAAAATGCTGGAATAAGAGAGAAAATTACTTTAAATGTTTTTAAGAATGCTACTGGAGACATTTTAATAATAGCTATCCAAGTGGAAACTGAAAAATAAAAATTTAGGAAATATTTCCTTATGTTTGGAGAACATAGGAAGTGTGTCTGTATAATATATATGTAAGGTCTCATTTAATGAAGACGAATAAACACATAAATTAACTGGAAATGATTTCAACTAATATTGACAACTTTTGTTTAAACAATTGATTTTCCATAACAAATATTTAAGTGTTTTACATATTAAAATATATGTCCAACTTATTTTATTCAATTTAGTTGATTCCAGATACATCTTTTTTCAGTAGACATATAGATAATTAAAATATATAGAGTTGTGGTTTTAAATAGATAAGCAATACAAATTATTGCCTGAATTCAATTCAGTTATAAATGAAAACCTCTATTCATGGAATTGAAGTGCATTTTGTTATTCATAAACTAAATATATTAGTGTGGTATGAACACAGGAGATGTATCAAGAATGAAAACAAAATAAGATTAAGACATGTTTGTGGAAAAGTGAATCTTAGAATACTAGAAAATATTAATATTATGGACTTATATACAATTGTCATTTTCTTCATTTAATTATAAAAAATATAAGGCTGGTGATAAAGTTTATATATTTATAAGAAAGAAGTTATATATTTATAAGAAAGAAGGAAGAAAGAAAGAAAAAGAGAGAGGGAGGAAGAAAGAAAGAAAGAATTTACTATTAAATATCCCACTGTTATGTTTATAAATTCTTGCACAGCCAAAAGCTGGTACATTTGCTGATCATCCATGACAAAATGTTGGAAGAAAAAGACATGAAACATGAGTTACAAATGTCAATATTTGGGGATGAGAGTTATCAACTGTCTTCATAAGAAATCTGTGGAATCCTAACATTCCTAACCTTAAGATATAAAACAAAAGTTAAATAAATTTTTTTCATTTAATTTTTGTGTACCAGTCACCTATGTTAATTTAAAAAAATCACTGCTATAAAATGCACATTCTGCAACACTTCGAATGGTATACTTCTCAACATACTCTAGATAAAAACATTGAAATAATAATACAAGACCTTAACAAAAATCTCCTTTTTATTTTATTTTTATTTGTTTATTTTTTGCTGGGAAATGGTAGAGGCTAGAGACATATATAAATATTCCTTAAATTAAATAAATGCAGTTTATAAAACAACAAGTTATATTTCTGGTCAACTGTAGGACTGTGCCTATTCTTTAAAATAAGTACTAATTAATCTTTCTCTTTGTTTTTCAACTTCTTCGCTTATTACAGATTGTATTTATTTTCCCCAATTATTTGCTTCTTCCTTTTGGGAAGCATGATTATACACATTGATCTATTGTCATATGAGGAGTTGGACAACTCCTTCTTTCTTTCTTTCTTTCTTTCTCTTTCTTTTTCTTTCCTTTCTTCACTTCTTTTTGTCTTTCCTTTCTTTTTTTTCCCATTCTTTGTTTTCCTCTCATATAAACCCAGAAACAATAACTCTATACTGCTGTTAGTACCACCTTATTAACCTAATATATCAAAGGGGTAGACATTGTATCTATATAGAAATTTCTATATAGATACAATGTCTATATGATGCTTCTGTGATCAATTATTAAATTAATGTCAGAGATCACACAGTTAGAAATTAATTTTTAATAGGAAGGCTTATGTTTTATAAAAAAAGATCTACAATTATTCTTCTTAGAAAACATTGGCTTTTAAACAATTTTTGTTAAGTTCAGCAGAAAATTTAAAAATAAAATACTAATTTGTAAGCAACCAAATTTTAATCTTCAAAATAATGTTTTTGAACTTGCTCACAATTTTATGGGAAGAATTACATATATGTGTATGTAACAATATATATGTATGTAATATATATGTAATTCTATATATATATATATATGAGAGAAAAAGAGAAAGGAGAAAAAGAAGAAAAAAGAAAGTAAAGAAAGAAAGAAGTGTATAAATTTTAAAAAATCACACACTAGGTATTTTAAATCACCTTCTTTAAGAATATATATTAGTGATTCAACAACGTGGTGGCCCATGAAAATGCTCCACTCATATCTCTTGCTGTGAGGCCACACTTCTGGAACTGTCACCATATTTGCATTAAGAACATGATTTCCAGACCGAGCCTGTAGTCTTGGTACTAAGTGTGGTAGTCATTGTACAGTTGAGCCTGACATGGTACATGCACCCCTGACTCTAAAAAGCACAGCTTGGGACTTCCCATGGACTTCGATAAAACTTCCTCAGATCTAAATTACAGTCTAAGATACTTCCTTTCCAATTTTTTTCTTTCTATGCTTCATTTTGCACGTTTCTTCTCTTCATTAATCTCTGATGCCTCTCCTTGTGTACTTCTCCTTAATCTTTTGCAGGTATCTTCCTGTGATGATGAATTTTATATGTGAACGTAATTGGTCTAAGAGATGCCCAGATAGTGGTAAAACAGTATTCTGGGTATGTCTATGAGGGCATTGTTGGAAGAGATTAGCATTTGAATTGGTGGACTAAGTTAAGAAAATGACTCTCTCCAATGTGGGTAGTAATCATCCAATCCATTGAAAGACTAAGTAGAACTAACAGGCTGAGGAAGGACAAATAATTTGTTCTCTGTGCTTAAACTTGGACATCTATATTCCCCTCTACAGAGGCAACTTTGACGTTGCCTCTCTTGGTTCTTAGGCCTTCAGACTTGGACTGGGACTTTCTCCATTGGCTCCCCTGATTCTGAAGCTTTGGGGTTTCTACTGGAACCACAGCATCAGCCCTTCTGGGCTTCTGGCTTGACAATGGTAGATCGTAAGACTTCTCAGCCTCCATAATCATGTGAGCCAATCCCTCGTAATACATTTCTCTTTCTCTTTCTCTCTCTCTCTCTCTCTCTGTGTGTGTGTGTGTGTGTGTGTATCTGTTTCTCTGGAGAACCTTTACTAATACATTTCCTCAGTAAAATCCTTTCACACCAAATCCCCTTCAGAGGACCTCAGCTGGCTCAAGTACCAGTAGAGGCTCAAGAAAAAGACAATAGGACAGGACTTAGGGATTGGATTACTTATCACCTGGCAGGTATATGCTATCTTGTGTGGTAGGTGGGACATAGATTGTCCCCAGAGCAAGATGGGGGGGTCCAATTGCTTATGCTTTCACCTGTAGTGACCAGAGAAAATGCTCCAGTAAGGGTCTGCCATTGAGGTTGCAATGATTCAGGATTTTTAAAGATTTGGGAGATCAATGCCTTCAAGGAATGATGAGCTGAATTTTTTGTTAGATGTATTGATGCTCT
This sequence comes from Homo sapiens, assembly GCF_000001405.40. NCBI lineage: Eukaryota > Metazoa > Chordata > Mammalia > Primates > Hominidae > Homo > Homo sapiens. The sequence goes on from NW_009646199.1 coordinate 5,389, forward strand.
GCAGAGAGATAATGAGAAAGTAGGGCCATTGTTATAACTTCTGAGAACCTCGGATATGGGAAGGGACATCTAGACTGGATATCTAGATAGATGCGATGAAAGCACCTGTCTCTGCTGAATATCTTGAACCTTAAGAGTTTGTGGGGATCATGATTTTCCACCCAACCCTAGTGAGAGCTAGGGCTTTGTCAGGCTCTTAGTGTAGAGGCCTCTCTCATCAGGGCAAATGTGATCACTTCCCTGCCTCAAGACCTTGATAACTAGCATTAGATTTCAACACAATCCAGGTGGGAATGTGCTAGGCCTGATTAGAAAGGAGAGAGACCACTCAGTAAAGAAACTATAATGATTAGCTAGCAGTCCCGGCAAGAGTAAGGAGAGAAGCCCAGGGATGGCATTTTAAGAGTACTTGATTTATATAGCTTAAAATGTAATATTTAATAAGTAAAAACGTGTCTCAGGACATGAGGATTTAATGTTCAGGAAGGGACTCCAGGGAATAGGACAAGCTCACTGCTCTAAAAGAGTGACGAAAATAAAGCTACATGCTGAGCAACACGCACGTGGCCGAATTGTCATGGCAGAATACAGAGGCTGAAGGAAGAGGAAATGCGGGTTGAAATAATTACATGAGTGTGGGAGAATTAGGAGAGTGTAGATAATGTTTCAAAGGAAAACTCAGAGTGTATACACTCTTCACCTAGGGTATCAAGGAGGACACCAGCATCACTAAAAGTTCAGTGGTGACTCTTCTATGTATGACTGGAGTCAACGGTAGGAAAGGCAGTAACAATGCTGAAATTATTAATATCTGTAGGGATTTTGGGCTCCAAAATAATAGAAGTGAGGGGGAAATTATCACACAGTAGAAGTCCTGAGGGCACAACTATGTAACAAATGCCAAGGTCAGAAAGATAGCTAAGGTGCATGACCCTGTCACAGATAGTGGTAGAAATGGTTAATTGAGTATGCTGTTCCTAGGGGCAAAAGATATAGGCAACAAAGTACCAATTACTATCTACGATAAGAAAATGGCAGAAATAGAGGAGCAGGAAGATGAAGGTGGTCACTTCAATAAAAATTCATGATTCCTTGCTCAGTTCCCAGAATTGTGTCAATTATCAGAAATAAAGCCTATTTACTGGTGACAGCCAGATAGCTAGGAAGAAGGGTTTTCACAAGACCACAATAAGTATATTTTCCTTCAGTTCTTCTCCTATGGGACCTATGGTCATTTATTCAGGCAACTGCAAATTGAACAAAGAGGCATAAGCAAACATTTTCATCATTTTTGGAAACAGATATTCCCAGAAGCCCAATGTGCTTTCATAGCTTATGGGGCCAGGTAATAAATGGAACCCTGGCTTAAGCCTTACTTACAATATGCACATTGGGCCTTTGGATCCCCAGAGGTCAATTCCCCAGTTCTCCAGTGTATAATTGGAATTTATATATTGTGAGTTGAAGTAACTCTTGGATAGAATCCTTGACCTGTAGGTTAAGAGCTATTATAGTGGGGAATGCCAAATGGAAACTTCTCAAAGTCTTCCCTTACCTAGCCAAGATAGAGTATCAAAATTTTATTTCATCTCAGAGGATATAGCAAAGATTAGTGGTGCCATTAAAGGCCTAAATAATTTGGAAATTTTTGTGCCTCTCATATTTTCATTTCATTGGTCAATCTGGCCCCTTTAAAACTGGCACGTTCCTGTAGCATGCATATAGAATGCCACAAGCTCAACTAAATTGTAATCTGATCAGAGTCTATGTTTCAGATGTGGTGTCATTTCCAGAATCATTAAGATGGCCTCATGCCTATGTTATTTAAACATTTCGTTGTACATCCTTGCACCTTTTAACTATAAATGGTCAGGTATAGCAATGCTGGCTTGAGAAAGGCATTTATTACTCTGACATCCGTACATTAGTAGGCAGGTATGAAAGTGGCTTATGTATATAAATAGGTTACTGTTATTTTCTTCTGAAGTTTAAGTTGTCTATCTTCAGTTTGCAGGGTTTTAAAAAAGCACAACTTAGTTTTTGGTGACTCCAAATTAGGAAAAATGAAAAGGAGAAGGAAAAAAATTGAAAGCATTATTTTAAGGCTTGTAGCCAAGAAAAATTAGAATTCAGTCCAAACTGTAGAAAATAATAAAAATTGTAAAAAAAACATTAGGAAAGACTAGAATCTAACAGCAGGTATACAATCATTTTGAAATTTTTTTTCTCTCTCCATTTTCCATTTTACTAAAGACAAATAATGGTAGAACTGGTTTGCTTATTATACTTGGCCTAAATATTTGTATACATTGCAGCAAGAATAATTATTTTTTTTACATAGGCTTTTAAATTGGCTCTGATGGAACTTTGTTCAATAAGAGAAATCTCAGATAAGACATTTTAAAGCCCAGCCCAGCCATGGATTGTGCCTTCAAATACCCATGAGTTGGGTGAAATTTCCTCTCCTCTTTAGGTTTCAAGACAAACCTGGGGCTTCTGCACCTGTTAGAAAGTGACATTATTTACTTGCCACAGGTCAGAAACCTTGTACAGGAACTGTGTACACAAAATATGAGGCCAGTTTATCCAAGGGCTTTATTGGCTCCATAAGTCAAGTTTGATTCCTTAAGGGAAAGCACAGCATTCCAGTAAAAGTCTTGGTAAAATAACCAGTTTCTCCAATTGTGACCTGTTACAAATGAAAACAGATCCTTATTGCACTTATGCAAATAACTGTATTGCCATAAGTTAAGAATACTAACAAGCAGTTTCCAATTCTGGAGAAATCAGGTAGAGAGAAACAAATGTGCTCCAAATTTTGTTCATAGAAATATACTAAATTGTTAAAAGCTGTCAATAGCTCAGAAGAAAAGTTTTAAGACTCTGAAAAACAAAGCAAAGGATCAGCAAACATATTAAGCAAAACGTCAAAAAGATTGGTTCAGTCCATGCAGTTAATTCCTGTTCTGCTTGATACTCATGAACATTTTCACTTTCTACAAGTCCTGAAAGTTTGTTCTCTATTTTGATGTCACAGTCTCCAAAGCTATCAGAAACCTGCATTCAGGAACACCTGTTGGAGATTCATAGCTGATTATAAAATCACTTTCTAAAGAGAACCAAAACAAGGCAACAATTGTCCATGGATGAAAAAACTTTAAGGCAGCTATAGTTAAAAGACACAATTGACAAGGAAAATTTGTTACTTCTGTGGCACACAATAATTTTAACATAACAATTATGATTACTACTGATAATGTACACTAAGTTATATCAGAATTACAGGTGTTTCCCATAATCTTGCTACACATATCAATAACATATTTATACAAATACAGCCCAGAGAAAACCAAACACCATTTCATATTTGACAATGCTTTCTGTATAACTTTTATACCAAGTAAGAAAAATTCTGTGATTTTTGGATTTCAGGGAACCTAGTGTCTTAAAAGATTAAGTTGGAAAAAGACACAATTCATAATTTGATTTTGGTAAGTTTGTCAAATATAAAAGTTTTAAAATGCTTGATATTACAAAATACGATTAAAGGTCATTGTAAAGTCATTTATTTATCCAAAACGATAATTCAAGGATTTCAAAAAAAGTGAAAACTTTCATTCTTTGAGAGAGGAGACTTAAATTTTCTAAACAAGAAGCCCTAATAAAAACAGCATGAGAGGGGAGGAGCCAAGATGGCCGAATAGGAACAGCTCCGGTCTACAGCTCCCAGCGTGAGCGACGCAGAAGACGGGTGATTTCTGCATTTCCATCTGAGGTACTGGGTTTCTCTCACTAGGGAGTGCCAGACAGTGGGCGCAGGTCAGTGGGTGCGCGCACCGTGCGCGAGCCGAAGCAGGGCGAGGCATTGCCTCACCTGGGAAGCGCGAGGGGTCAGGGAGTTCCCTTTCCGAGTCAAAGAAAGGGGTGACCGACGCACCTGGAAAATCGGGTCACTCCCACCCAAATATTGCGCTTTTCAGACCGGCTTAAAAAGTGGCGAACCATGAGATTATATCCCACACCTGTCTCGGAGGGTCCTACGCCCACGGAATCTCGCTGATTGCTAGCACAGCAGTCTGAGATCAAACTGCAAGGTGGCAGCGAGGCTGGGGGAGGGGCGTCCGCCATTGCCCAGGCTTGCTTAGGTAAACAAAGCAGCCAGGAAGCTTGAACTGGGTGGAGCCTACAACAGCTCAAGGAGGCCTGCCTGCCTCTGTAGGCTCCACCTCTGGGGGCAGGGCACAGACAAACAAAAAGACAGCAGTAACCTCTGCAGACTTAAGTGTCCCTGTCTGACAGCTTTGAAGAGAGCAGTGGTTCTCCCAGCACGCAGCTGGAGATCTGAGAACGGGCAGACTGCCTCCTCAAGTGGGTCCCTGACCCCTGACCCCCGAGCAGCCTAACTGGGAGGCACCCCCCAGCAGGGGCACACTGACACCTCACACTGCAGGGTATTCCAACAGACCTGCAGCTGAGGGTCCTGTCTGTTAGAAGGAAAACTAACAAACAGAAAGGACATCCACACCGAAAACCCATCTGTACATCACCATCATCAAAGACCAAAAGTAGATAAAACCACAAAGATGGGGAAAAAACAGAACAGAAAAACTGGAAACTCTAAAATGCAGAGCGCCTCTCCTCCTCCAAAGGAATGCAGTTCCTCACCAGCAACGGATCAAAGCTGGATGGAGAATGACTTTGACGAGCTGAGAGAAGAAGGCTTCAGACGATCAAATTACTCTGAGCTACGGGAGGACATTCAAACCAAAGGCAAAGAAGTTGAAAACTTTGAAAAAAATTTAGAAGAATGTATAACTAGAATAACCAATACAGAGAAGTGCTTAAAGGAGCTGATGGAGCTGAAAACCAAGGCTCGAGAACTACGTGAAGAATGCAGAAGCCTCAGGAGCCGATGCGATCAACTGGAAGAAAGGGTATCAGCAATGGAAGATGAAATGAATGCAATGAAGTGAGAAGGGAAGGTTAGAGAAAAAAGAATAAAAAGAAATGAGCAAAGCCTCCAAGAAATATGGGACTATGTGAAAAGAACAAATCTACGTCTGATTGGTGTACCTGAAAGTGATGGGGAGAATGGAACCAAGTTGGAAAACACTCTGCAGGATATTATCCAGGAGAACTTCCCCAATCTAGCAAGGCAGGCCAACGTTCAGATTCAGGAAATACAGAGAACGCCACAAAGATACTCCTCAAGAAGAGCAACTCCAAGACACATAATTGTCAGATTCACCAAAGTTGAAATGAAGGAAAAAATGTTAAGGGCAGCCAGAGAGAAAGGTCGGGTTACCCTCAAAGGGAAGCCCATCAGACTAACAGCGGATCTCTCGGCAGAAACCCTACAAGCCAGAAGAGAGTGGGGGCCAATATTCAACATTCTTAAAGAAAAGAATTTTCAACCCAGAATTTCATATCCAGCCAAACTAAGCTTCATAAGTGAAGGAGAAATAAAATACTTCACAGACAAGCAAATGCTGAGAGATTTTGTCACCACTAGGCCTGCCCTAAAAGAGCTCCTGAAGGAAGTGCTAAACATGGAAAGGAACAACCGGTACCAGCCACTGCAAAATCATGCCAAAATGTAAAGACCATCGAGACTAGGAAGAAACTGCATCAACTAACGAGCAAAATCACCAGCTAACATCATAATGACAGGATCAAATTCACACATAACAATATTAACTTTAAATGTAAATGGACTAAATGCTCCAATTAAAAGACACAGACTGGCAAATTGGATAAAGAGTCAAGACCCATCAGTGTGCTGTATCCAGGAAACCCATCTCACGTGCAGAGACACACATAGGCTCAAAATAAAAGGATGGAGGAAGATCTACCAAGCAAATGGAAAACAAAAAAAGGAAGGGGTTGCAATCCTAGTCTCTGATAAAACAGACTTTAAACCAACAAAGATCAAAAGAGACAAAGAAGGCCATTACATAATGGTAAAGGGATCAATTCAACAAGAAGAGCTAACTATCCTAAATATATATGCACCCAATACAGGAGCACCCAGATTCATAAAGCAAGTCCTGAGTGACCTACAAAGAGACTTAGACTCCCACACATTAATAATGGGAGACTTTAACACCCCACTGTCAACATTAGACAGATCAACGAGACAGAAAGTCAACAAGGATACCCAGGAATTGAACTCAGCTCTGCACCAAGTGGACCTAATAGACATCTACAGAACTCTCCACCCCAAATCAACAGAATATACATTTTTTTCAGCACCACACCATACCTATTCCAAAATTGACCGCATAGTTGGAAGTAAAGCTCTCCTCAGCAAATGTAAAAGAACAGAAATTATAACAAACTATCTCTCAGACCACAATGCAATCAAACTAGAACTCAGGATTAAGAATCTCACTCAAAGCCGCTCAACTACATGGAAACTGAACAACCTGCTCCTGAATGACTACTGGGTACATAACGAAATGAAGGCAGAAATAAAGATGTTCTTTGAAACCAACGAGAACAAAGACACAACATACCAGAATCTCTGGGACGCATTCAAAGCAGTGTGTAGAGGGAAATTTATAGCACTAAATGCCCACAAGAGAAAGCAGGAAAGATCCAAAATTGACACCCTAACATCACAATTAAAAGAACTAGAAAAGCAAGAGCAAACACATTCAAAAGCTAGCAGAAGGCAAGAAATAACTAAAATCAGAGCAGAACTGAAGGAAATAGAGACACAAAAAACCCTTCAAAAAATCAATGAATCCAGGAGCTGGTTTTTTGAAAGGATCAACAAAATTGATAGACCACTAGCAAGACTAATAAAGAAAAAAAGAGAGAAGAATCAAATAGACACAATAAAAAATGATAAAGGGGATATCACCACTGATCCCACAGAAATACAAACTACCATCAGAGAATACTACAAACACCTCTACGCAAATAAACTAGAAAATCTAGAAGAAATGGATAAATTCCTCAACACATACACTCTCCCAAGACTAAACCAGGAAGAAGTTGAATCTCTGAATAGACCAATAACAGGAGCTGAAATTGTGGCAATAATTGATAGTTTACCAACCAAAAAGAGTCCAGGACCAGATGGATTCACAGCTGAATTCTACCAGAGGTACAAGGAGGAACTGGTACCATTCCTTCTGAAACTATTCCAATCAATAGAAAAAGAGGGAATCCTCCCTAACTCATTTTATGAGGCCAGCATCATTCTGATACCAAAGCCGGGCAGAGACACAACCAAAAAAGAGAATTTTAGACCAATATCCTTGATGAACATTGATGCAAAAATCCTCAATAAAATACTGGCAAAACGAATCCAGCAGCACATCAAAAAGCTTATCCACCTTGATCAAGTGGGCTTCATCCCTGGGATGCAAGGCTGGTTCAATATACACAAATCAATAAATGTAATCCAGCATATAAACAGAGCCAAAGACAAAAACCACATGATTATCTCAATAGATGCAGAAAAAGCCTTTGACAAAATTCAACAAACCTTCATGCTAAAAACTCTCAATGAATTAGGTATTGATGGGACGTATTTCAAAATAATAAGAGCTATCTATGACAAACCCACAGCCAATATCATACTAAATGGGCAAAAACTGGAAGCATTCCCTTTGAAAACTGGCACAAGACAGGGATGCCCTCTCTCACCACTCCTATTCAACATAGTGTTGGAAGTTCTGGCCAGGACAATTAGGCAGGAGAAGGAAATAAAGGGTATTCAATTAGGAAAAGAGGAAGTCAAATTGTCCCTGTTTGCAGACGACATGATTGTATATCTAGAAAACCCCATTGTTTCAGCCCAAAATCTCCTTAAGCTGATAAGCAACTTCAGCAAAGTCTCAGGATACAAAATCAATGTACAAAAATCACAAGCATTCTTATACACCAACAACAGACAAACAGAGAGCCAAATCATGAGTGAACTCCCATTCACAATTGCTTCAAAGAGAATAAAATACCTAGGAATCCAACTTACAAGGGATGTGAAGGACCTCTTCAAGGAGAACTACAAACCACTGCTCAAGGAAATAAAAGAGGATACAAACAAATGGAAGAACATTCCATGCTCATGGGTAGGAAGAATCAATATCGTGAAAATGGCCATACTGCCCAAGGTAATTTACAGATTCAATGCCATCCCCATAAAGCTACCAATGACTTTCCTCACAGAATTGGAAAAAACTACTTTAAAGTTCATATGGAACCAAAAAAGAGCCTGCATCGCCAAGTCAATCCTAAGCCAAAAGAACAAAGCTGGAGGCATCACGCTACCTGACTTCAAACTATACTACAAGGCTACAGTAACCAAAACAGCATGGTACTGGTACCAAAACAGAGATATAGATCAATGGAACAGAACAGAGCCCTCAGAAATAACGCCGCATATCTACAACTATCTGATCTTTGACAAACCTGACAAAAACAAGCAATGGGGAAAGGATTCCCTATTTAATAAATGGTGCTGGGAAAACTGGCTAGCCATATGGAGAGAGCTGAAACTGGATCCCTTCCTTACACCTTATACAAAAATCAATTCAAGATGGATTAAAGATTTAAACGTTAGACCTAAAACCATAAAAACCCTAGAAGAAAACCTAGGCATTACCATTCAGGACATAGGCATGGGCAAGGACTTCATGTCCAAAACACCAAAAGCAATGGCAACAAAAGCCAAAATTGACAAATGGGATCTCATTAAACTAAAGAGCTTCTGCACAGCAAAAGAAACTACCATCAGAGTGAACAGGCAACCTACAAAATGGGAGAAAATTTTCGCAACCTACTCATCTGACAAAGGGCTAATATCCAGAATCTACAATGAACTCAAACAAATTTACAAGAAAAAAACAAACAACCCCATCAAAAAGTGGGTGAAGGACATGAACAGACACTTCTCAAAAGAAGACATTTATGCAGCCAAGAAACACATGAAAAAATGCTCATCATCACTGGCCATCAGAGAAATGAAAATCAAAACCACAATGAGATACCATCTCACACCAGTTAGAATGGCAATCATTAAAAAGTCAGGAAACAACAGGTGCTGGAGAGGATGTGGAGAAATAGGAACACTTTTACACTGTTGGTGGGACTGTAAACTAGTTCAACCATTGTGGAAGTCAGTGTGGCGATTCCTCAGGGATCTAGAACTAGAAATACCATTTGACCCAGCCATCCCATTACTGGGTATATACCCAAATGACTATAAATCATGCTGCTATAAAGACACATGCACATGTATGTTTATTGCAGCATTATTCACAATAGCAAAGACTTGGAACCAACCCAAATGTCCAACAATGATAGACTGGATTAAGAAAATGTGGCACAGATACACCATGGAATACTATGCAGCCATAAAAAATGATGAGTTCGTGTCCTTTGTAGGGACATGGATGAAATTGGAAATCATCATTCTCAGTAAACTATCACAAGAACAAAAAACCAAACACCACATATTCTCACTCATAGGTGGGAATTGAACAATGAGATCACATGGACACAGGAAGGGGAATATCACACTCTGGGGACTGTGGTGGGGTGGGGGGAGGGGGGAGGGATAGCATTGGGAGATATACCTAATGCTAGATGACGAGTTAGTGGGTGCAGCGCACCAGCATGGCACATGTATACATATGTAACTAACCTGCACAATGTGCACATGTACCCTAAAACTTAAAGTATAATAAAAAAAAACAAAAACAAAAAACAAAAACAAAAACAAAAACAAAAACAGCATGAAGCCAATTACATTTGTTTTTCAAACTTTTATAAACAATCTATTAATCTTGATTACAAAATATAACTTCCATAAGCCTTTTATAACCTTTATAACCTTTATTAAGGAGTTGGTTAATGCTTCATGAAAACCTTGTTAGTATGATACACGGGTCCATATACTGGTTTTGCATCAGTGTGCCTTTGACATTAATAATTAATTTATGGAGGAATTGAACTTATTTTATCTTTTAAAATCCACCCTTAAAATCTTACATGCCTACCTCTTCCACGTAGTCCCTGGGCCTTGAGGAGGTGGATAGCTTTAATTTCTTGCCCTGTGTCTCAAGAATGCAGTTTATTTTGATTGGCATCTTCTAGGGGGCCTGAAGATGAGAATTTAATTGCTATCAGTGTTTAAGATTTAGCAGAACTTGGTGTCCTTTTTAGACCCAAGAATCAAAAGCCCTGGAACTCAATGTTACAAAGACTCTAAAAACGTATACAGGAAGATGCATAAATGTAATAACCTTAACTTTAAAAAAAATCTCAGTTTTTTTTCCTAAGCAAAACAAAACTTAATAATAATAGGACAATTATAAAAGTTTTTTTCACATATGTATAAATCCTCTTATTGTGACTTACACTGACTGTTCATGACACGGTGGGGCTTTCTGATTTGTTCTGAATATCCATCCTTTTTAAACAACCATTATTTTATTTTAGGACTAAATTTACCATACAAGATTCTTTCTTATACAAAATTATTTTTTCTTTAAGCTTTTATACCTCAAAAAAATACCTCTTTATTTTTATAACTTTCTTCGCATTTTTTTTCCTGGTTCCTTTTACCTTGTTTTATACATAACCCTTAAATGAGCTTTTAATCAGACAAAATTTGTTCACCTTTTTTTTTTTTTTTTTGGAAAAAAAAACATACATTTTCATTTTCTTTTATTTAGCAAGAATGTTTTCCTACAATATATATTTATTAGAAAACACCCAAACACCCAAATAATGGAATATTATTATTTAATTTAATGTAACTTTATATTCTAAATTATAACCAGTTTGTCTACAAGTATTTATCCCATTATATTTGCCTAATTATTTTATTTTAATTATTTACCTAGATTATTTATGAAAACTGTGATAGTTATAATTTGAAGTTCTGAAATCACCATTGCAAAATTATAACAAAGACAATGAAAAAAAGATTTGACATAACTGGCTCCATCGTGCTCATAACCTCCAAGCCATCCTTGTTCACGCCTGGGCATAGACGGAACTAACTTTGGGAGGAACTTAGTTTATTATTTAGCTTTGAACAAAAGGTGACAACATTCCTTTCCCAAAACAAATTTCATTATTGTCTGTGGACTAGACTGCCTAAAGCAGTCTATTAGACGTTATGGATTAGAAGTTATGGTAATCTTACTAAATTCAAGATGCAGCTATTTTCATTAAAGCCATATCAATGTTTTATTTATTAAAAATGACATAAGCAAAGATCATTTTGATTTGGGCTGGGTTCATAGTTTTCTAACCCCTGTGCCAAATTTTGAGACTTTATAGTATTTGGCAGGGATGAGTATGAAATTGCTTGATTAATAAATGCAAACAGAAATGTATGCTGGAAATTCTTAAAACATTTGTAATATTACTTTAGCAATAATTTTAAAGCTAGCTTACTTATTAAAGATTTTACTTAAGTTACATAAACTTGACGATGCCTTTGACTAGTCTTTTTTAGTATCTAATTTACTGATTTTATTTTTCTTTAAGCCAATTAATTAGAACTCTTTTACATATTTTTAGTAGTGAAACATTCTGTACACAACACATAAATACATACACAAATTTATTAGGCCTGCCAATGGAAGTACATTTTATAGATTCATAAAGAACCCCTCCCACTTTTTTTCTTCTATCTTAGACTTTCAGATACTTGATAGCCTGTTTTACAACTCTAGGCAGTTGTCAGCTAAATAGCCTTAAATTTGCATATTAAAAGAAACACTCCGATGAAAATCAAATAGCAAAATTTACGTCATAAAGGTATAGAGAGAAAAAGTTTGGTGGTGCTAGAGGGAGACATTTTTACAGTGCACTGACTTTTTTTTTTCTTAAGGACATAGATTCTGAGTGTATAAACTATATTCTTCCTTAAAAATCCAAGAATAGGCCAGGTGCAGTGGCTCACACCTGTAATCCCAGCACTTTGGGAGGCTGAGGCAGACAGATCACAAGGTCAGGAGATCGAGACCATCCTGGCTAACACGGTGAAACCCCATCTCTACTAAATATACTAAAAATTACCCGGGTATGGTGGCGGGCGCCTGTAGTCCCAGCTACTAGGGAGACTGAGGCAGGAGAATGGCGTGAACCCGGGAGGCGGAGCTTGCAGTGAGCTGAGATCGCGCCACTACACTCCAGCCTGGGCGACAGAGCAAGACTCCGTCTCAAAAAAAAAAAAAAAAAAAAAAAGCCAAGAATAGCCTCCATTGCAATACTATTTTAGTCAAAAATCAGGTGGAAACAGAATTCAGTCAACTGAGAGAGAAAAAAAAACCTTGGCTCAAAAAACAAGGTCTTAGGAGAGAAAAACAAACAAAAAACAAAAACATGAAGGCTTTTAAAATACAAAGATGCACACATGCACACACACATCTTGGATGTTAGCCTTTTCATTAAGCTGACTTTTAACTATTGAGCTCCTTTAACAAAAAAAAATTAGTTTTTTAAACTTGCTATCATATTTCAGCTAGGACGAAATGCTGCTAAACTAACAATAATCACACAAATTATACGATTTTTGTACACTCTAAGTGTAAGCAGAAATTACACCAGCTGGTTGTTCATGCTAACTTGAGTCGTTTAGAAATAATTTGCAAGACAGAATCCCAAACTAGTTTCTTGCCTAGTAATGGGTCTCAGGCTGTATACTGCTCTCTACCATCCTATAAGCAGGAAAAAACAAACAAAACAGAAAACTCATCTTCCCTGTTGGAAGCGAGCTCAAACTCCATCGAGTTACCTGCCGGGCCGGGAGCGGTGGCTCATGCCTGTAATCCCAGCACTTTGGGATGCTGAGGCGGGCGGATTACGAGGTCAGTAGGTCGAGACCATCCTGGCTAACACGGTGAAATCCCGTCTCTACTAAAAATACAAAAAATTAGCTGGGCGCGGTGGCGGGCGCCTGTAGTCCCAGCTACTCTGGAGGCTGAGGCAGGAAAATGGCGTGAACGGGGGGCGGAGCTTGCAGTGAGCCCAGATGGCGACAGAGCGAGACTCCGTCTCAAAAAAAAAAAAAAAAGTTACCTGCCTTCCATCATCATGGAAGCAGGAAAACTTGCCTTCCCGTCAGAAGCAAGTAAAGCTCCAAAACAAAAACAAAAACAAAAACAAAAACAAAAAAAAGTTCTATAGCAAAATAAACTTTAGATCTCGACCAAATTTTGGGAGATCAGGCATTCTCTGGAGGGGATGCCCTCATTCCTCAGCAAATTGTCCTATTTGTTTGAGCCATGAAGTTAGCTCATGCTGGTACCAAGCACTGAAAAGAGATTTGTCAAAGGTCAGAGGCATCTCCGCTCAGAATCCCCCCCGTGGTTACCAAAACGTGAACCCCCAAAATTTGAGACAGGTCTCAGTTAATTTAGAAAGTTTATTTTGCCAAGGTTGAGGACACACCCTTGACACAGCCTCAGAAAGTCCTGACCACATGCTTGGTTTTACACATTTTAGGGAGGTATGAAACATCAATCAATATGTAAGGAGTACATTACCTCTGTCCAGAAAGGCAGAGACAGCTCAAAGCAAGGTCCCGACACAGGGGCTTCCAGGTCATATATAGGTGAGAGACAGATGGTTGTATTCTTTTGAGTTTCTGATAAGTCTTTCCAAAGAAGGCAATCAGAATATGCATCCACCTCTGTGAGCAAAGGGATGGCTTGAATAGAATGGGATGCAGATTTGGCCTGAGTGGTTCCCAGCTTGAAAGGACCCAAGACATTTTCCTTTCTCATTACCAAGGGCTCAGAAATATCAGGAATGAAGTTTGGAGTTGCATCACCAGAGAATGCACTGCGACAAAGTGATGACCAGTGTTGAGGAGGGTATTAGAATAGTGTTTGGTAAATGTGAAAAAGGAGAAGGCCAAGTTGTAGCTTTAAAATGAACTGCTGCATCCAGGGTGTGGTTCCTTACTACTCCCTCTCTTCTAAGATTCCCCACAAGTAGACAGTTTAATAGGGATTATGTGGAGTTTATCCACAAACCTGCATGGAGAAGCAGATTTCTCAGCTATGAGGGATGGACCTGTGGTGGCCATAAAATGTACTGCTCAGATTTCCTACTGAATAGTCTGACATCAACTGCTGCCACCTCTCTGAATTCACTTAGTCCACAACGCTCGTGGGTTGCTTCCATTCAGTGACTGAAAACAGAGAGGATATCAAGGCAAGGTACTTCTGTCATGCGCGTCCGTGTGAAGAGACCACCAACAGGCTTTGTGTGAACAACAAGACTGTTTATTCACTTGGGTGCAAATGGGCTGAGTCTGAGACAGGAGTCAGCAAAGGGAGATAGGGATGGGGCAGTTTTATAGGACTGGGGCAGGCAGTGGAAAGTTACAGTTAAAGGTGGTTATCTATTGTCAGCTGAGGAGGGATCACAAGGTGAATGGTGAGGAGATCATAAGACTCATTGTCCAAAAGAGGAATGTCACGAGGTCAATCGATCGATCAGTTGGGGCAGGGCAGGAACAAGTCATAATGGAATGTCTTAAGGTTGGTCAATCAGTTGAGACAGGAGCTGGCACTTCCACTTCTTTTATACTTTTCGGTTGCCTCAGGCCATCAGGATGTATATGTGCAGGCTTGGGCTAAGAGGCCTGATAACTTCATGTAGCATGCGGCACTCCTCAAATGGCAATACTGGCTTGAGGACTCCCAGTGGACTGGCCCAAAACACCCTCAGAACTGCTTTGCAGGTTAAGAACCTTTCACCCCAGTGTCATTACTTCCCTCTTGCCTACACAGGAGTCACACCTGCATAATGGTCTGAATATTGTGTCTACTTTTGCATCTTATGCATTATTCCCGGTGCTTGTTTTACTCAATAAATCTCTTGCAGGTCTAATCCTGGCTTAATCTCTGCTTCTCTGAATTCCCAAAGACAAACTTTCTATGGCTCTTCATACAGATTTTTTACAATTCATGTAACTTTTTTCCCCTCCGTTTTTTTCTTCTCTTCCCTCTTTTTAAAAAATTTGCATAAATTTAAGGGGTACAAGTGCAGTTTTGTTACACAAATATATTGTGTCTTGGTGGAGTCTGGGATTTCAGTGTACCATCACGCAAATAATGTACATTCCCCCCTTTATGTAACTGTTCATCCCTTACCTCCTTCCTCTTTTACAGTTCTTTCTCTTCCTTCTCTCCTTCTTAATATCTTTTATGGCTTTGTTTGTGTGAGATGGAAATTGAGAGGTAAAACTGAGTAAACTCATGCAAACACCAATCAAATGCATTTTTATGGTAATCAATGAAGAACTAATTTGTGAGAAATAATGATTACTGTAAACCAATGTCATTAATCACAATGCAAAGGTTTTTTTTGTGAAGTGAACATTTGATTCTGTATTTCTCACTTGCAGATTCTTAATTTACTTCCCAATTAACTTACGGAGTTTTTCAATTTTTACCAGCAACAACAATATAAAATTACCCCTAACAAATATTCCTGACAGCAATATGCAAGAAAAATGCTTTGCCTGATAAGTCTAAAACGTATTTAAAAGATTGCAATCTTTACTTCTGTGCTTTATGTTAAATGCCAACTGTGTTTGACCATTTACTCAAACTAAAATTACTAGTAAATTAATGTGATAAGATAAAACTCACAGTTTCATTTTTAAAGATGAGCTAAGGGAGATTCAGGCAGTCACTGAACCAAGCTGTATTTTTATTTCTTGTTTCATGCATTGAGAGCTGTTTCATATGAAGACAAATTCAATCTATCATTCTTATTATTTGTTATTTTTTCTCATTATGCAAACATATAACAATGTTCAGAAAGGGCTAATTTCTACTTCATGCACCTTGAAAAAAAGACAGTATGAAGTGATAAAGCACTAAACCTTTAAGAATTGCCTCAGTTCACTAATGGTGAGATTTTGATACATTCATCTAGTTAAGGCATATTGATTGTGTATCTCTAGCCGAGTCCAAAGCTCGTACTACTTGCCACACAATAGCCAATAAGGTGTTAGACCAAGGAAAGCAACTTTGTGTTGAAGAGGAGCAAGCCAAGAAATGGAAGACTAGTGTCCTGAAGAGTCATCTTAAAAGGCCTAAATCTCATGCTTCTTTTTATATTGGGAAGGGAGAACAATGAGGAGGATGAGTTGAAGAGGGAACAGGTGACCAGATATTTGTGCATCAGCAGGTGTCTGAGGGGGGTCGCATAATTTCTTTGGCCTTGGTCAGGTCACGATGCTTCTATAAATCTGTAACATTATATTGTTACTTTTGTGTACCATCTCCTTATTTCCTCAGCAGTTAGTTTAGGGAAGGGACTATTATCATTTGTTTTAAAGTTAAACTATAAAGTAAAACTATAGTTAGACTATAAACTAAAACTATAGTTAAACTATAAACTAAACTCCTCCCATAGGAATTTAGTTTGTTCACCATGCAGGAAGGAGCAAAGGCAGTTATCTTGTGACATCAGAAGCAAGATGAAGTCAGCTATGTTAGAGTTCTACGTTATGTATCTACATTATGCCAGGCACTGTGCTAGACAATGAAAATGTGATAAATACAATGCATTGTGCAGCTTCCTCTTGGAGCTTGTAGATTATGAAAAGGAAATAGACATAAAAATACCAAGCCAGTTATTATAGAATGGAAAGTATAGAGAGTTATGTCTTGGGCACCTAATTGAGGATAAGAACCAGCGAATTTAATGTATTCAAGTATAATAGGATGCCTGGCAAGATAAGCAATTTGTTCTTTTATTTATTGCTAGAAAAATCACTAAAGTTTTTGTGCATAGTGGAAAATGCAAAGTGTCCTTCAATAATTTTTCTTCTTCAGACTTCCTTTTACGTCACGGTTTCTTCTCAGTGTCAATGCAATTAGGAGTCTTTTTGCCTGAGGGAAAGATACAAAAGACTCGCAGTCTGATAAGGCTGCTGCTTCAGAGACCCTTTGCTTTATAAAGTGGTTGCAATGGCAAGAATGCATAGTATTGCATAGTGTTAAAGAGGCTGGGGTCAGGGGGTGGGAGCTGGTGTTTTTATAAATCATGACCCTCACATCTTCTATTTTTAGTGGAAACTTTATTAAAATATCTCAAATGAACGTAGATTGTTCAGAACGATATCCACTTGCATTAAAGGCTCCAAGGACCTGAGAGAGGTTCTCAAAAGGAAGAAAGGGAACATCTTTTTGTGAGATCCAGAAATATCTCTACAGTCTGTAGTTTTATCTAGAATATCAGTAAATGGTTAAGCTTTGGAGTCCTTGCAGCACCAGCTACCCAGGCATAGTGATAATACTCCTGAATAGTGGCTGAATGTGGATGTGTACAAGAGTTCTAATCTCTGAACACAAGTGTGTTCAATTATGAGACTCTAGAGCTTCTCTCTAGGTATGTGGCTCATGGGAAGAATCATCTAAATAGAGAACAAGATTCATTAGAGTGTGTTGGAGCTTTTTTCAATAGTGGTATGTTGCCCCACAATAGAGCTAAGTACTACTAATAGAAAATAAATCTAATTTACCAGATATTTTTCTGTCAGGAATTTTCAAGCAGGACTAGTTCCTTCAGCCTTACAGTCCAGTTGCTGGAAATCTGTTCAGAGGTTTAGGGCAGAAACCACAAAACCACCAAATTCTTTCTTCTCATTTTTATCATGTAGCTAGACCATATTTGCCAGCCACCTTGACATTCAGTGTGGCCCTGTGGCCAAGTTCTCTCAAATACAATGTGTGCAACTAACACCTCTTTCACTTCCACTTTGGGCATGTAAAACCGTCCCATGTTTTTCTTCAAAGCCTTTTTACTTCAACTATCCATCTCTAGACAGTGAGGTCCTGGATGATGACAGAGCCATAGATGGAAAAGACACCATTATTCTGGTCTATAAAGAACTGGTGGGTTCTTTGGAGGAAAAACAATGCTGTCATGAGCTGTGCAAAATCAGAGATCACCGGGTCCATGCGTGTTTGTGTCTTTCCACAATGCCAGGCTTTGATTGATGCAATTTCAATCACGAAAGCCACGAGCCACATGAGGTTCCCAAGGAGGCAGTTCTTCTTAGTACTTCCCATTCACTCAGTAGGCAGAGCTGCATTCACACAGGGTCAAGCCACGCCACAAGTCAGTCCGTATGGCAAACCATACATAATAGTATACTTAATACATACATGTTATAAAGCAAACATTCCACTACAAACAAGGTAACATTTAATATCAAAGGGAAAAAGAGATAGGAGAAAAGATTAATAAACCAGCTCTGGAGGAGCAAAGAAGATAAAAGGAGTGATGGTCTGGGCCGGAGGGTCTATAGGTCTTACAAGGAAGGGCCTTTGATGTGGCAGAGTCTTCGGGAGTAAAAGCCAAGTTCTTATCCCGAGTGCCTGCAAGATGGTGTTAAGATGGTCATTTTGAGCTGCTGAAGGCCTGATCTTTACAGTCATAAAGTCCCCTGGTGAGAACTAAGAGTGGAAAGTTATGCTTGTTTGTGTCCCTATCTGGTTTGATGCATATATATGTGCATTTGGGGGAGATTTGATTTTTGTCATAGTAGCCTCCAAACACTGGATCAAGTGTTTTAAACTAATTTGCTAAGCAATGTGATTGTGATTGTAATTGTAATTCAGATTTTTTTAAATAAAAGAAAGGCCGTATAAATATTTTTATTAAGTCTGAATGTAGAAAGTGTCATTCCCGAAAATTAATTATACATGAATAGATCTGTATGTTTATGTTTTCCAAATATTTGTGTGCAGTGTTTCTGTGTATTACACAAGCTTTTTTAGAGGATCAATATCCTTGTCTGATGCCTCCATTCACATTACAGAAATAAAGTAGAAGCAAATACTATGAATGATAGTACCAAAATATTGGTCCCTTTTAACGTTTTCTTAATGTGTCATAGTTACAAATATTAAAAAGTATTATTTTGAGCATTTTGGGATAAATATTTTAATGTATATCTAAGAACAGCAACGAACTTATCATCTTTGTAACTACTAAATCTACTTATGTTGTAGATGGATTTATTTTACAGGATAGTTCCTTACCTTGGCACTGTAAAAATAACCAGTTATTTTATAAAAGGCCTGGTTCAGCTCAGCATTTGAATTCTAAGTAATTAGTCCTGCTCATTTCCATTTAGATGAAAGCCTGATTAAAGCACAATGGCACTCTGGCTTCTTAATATAAACTTTTATATTTTTTGATAGGAGCATGTAATTTCCTTATGCCACTAAACAGACTGAAATTTGGATGCCACTTAAGCACTAAATGTTTGTTTTAGTCACATTTTCATTATGACACACTCATGTTTCAAGGTAATGTAAGTGTATTCAAGGTATGTAAGTGTATGATGATTTATAGTAACATTTTCCACAGAACAATATTTTAATTATTACAGTCAACTTGAAGATGATTAGTCTGTGAGAAGAAACATGTGAAAAATAAAAGGGTGAATAAAACAATGGAAAATTAACATTGAGGATAATAATAAAGGTGTGAACAAAAATGTTGGGAAACAAGAACTTAAGTAATCATCTATGCGACTACAAACAGATTAATATATTGGGCAGACTATAACATTTTAAAGATAAAATGTGAGTCCATTAAGAGCTTTATGACAGTTCTACAAATTGTGTTTTGTTTTGTTTTTGGCAAAGTCTGTCTGGACAGGTGATTTGGTTTTTGATTTTAGAGACTGAGAAACATTTCAGTACAGCATGGCACGTGGCCCTAAATTGGTAGCAACACATAATTTACTTATTAATCCAATCATTGTTATTTTCTCAGTAGCCTACAACAGTTAACCTTATGTCATTGGGGCCTGGATAATTGTCACTACAAATAAAAACAAGCATCAAAAGCATAGAATGTGGGTCTCTTAAAAGTAGTTGTTTCTGTAAACCACAACTGTGGCTCTCAACGTGGGCCAGTTTGGCTCTCCAGAGGACACTGGCAATGGCAGAAGATTATTTTTTCCAGTTTTCAGAGTCAGAAGTAAGGAGTGCTATTATATCTAGCAAGTTAGGCTGAGTATAATCCTGAACATCCAAAAATGAACAGAACAGACTCTGCAACAGCGACAAAATATTATCTAATCCATAATAGGGCCAAGGTAGAAATACTTGGATCCAGAATAAGCTAATACTAAATTCTTTGCAGTTATTATTAAAAAGAAAAAGTAATTCAAAAGCATTACAGATTAAGACATATTTGAAAATATGCAAGCTTGCCAGAATATATCTAATTTAGGTATGATATGTTTGGAAAAAAATTGGTATAGAAGGCTATAGGAGCTTTTCCAAAGTTGTATTTTGTGATTCATGTATGTAAGTGCTAATCTAGGAAAAATAATAGCTTGTCATTACATAGTTAGGATAATAATTGCTTTTATAACATTGGATATCAGATACCAATACTGAATTCTCTCCTGTTAATATCTGAGAACAACACATTTTTCTACTTATTATACATACATACTATTTCACTAATCTTTGAATTATCCACTCATTTTTTTCTCTTCCTCCTCACTTTCAAATAATAACCTATTAACCTAATTCACAGGTTAATCTATTAACCTAAACCATCAGCCCTTGTGAGAAAGAATTAAAAAGCTGCATCAGTTTCCAGGAATAATGTTCCAAACTTTACTGAGTATGTTTTTGCATTCGTTTCATTTTAAGGGATTTTTTTTTTCTGTCAAAGAAAAATATCCATCTAATTGTTCTTGTTGTCCTCCATTAGTGACTTATTAAAGCTGCTCCCTTGGTCCTTGGTTATCTGTGTTTTCTTTTTTTTTTTTTTTCTTTTTTCTCTTTCTTTTTCTTTTTTTTTTTTTTTTGAGACAGAGTTTCACTCTGTTGCCCAGGCTGGAGTGCAGTGGCGCGATCTCAGCTCACTGTAACTTCTGCCTCCGGGGTTCACGCCATTCTCCTGCCTCTGCCTCCCGAGTAGCTGGGACTACAGGTGCCCACCACCACACCTGGCTAATTTTTTGTATTTGTAGTAGAGATGGTGTTTCACCATGTTAGCAAAGATGGTCTCGATCTCCTGACCTTGTGATCTGCCTGCCTTGGCCTCCCAAAGTCCTGGGATTACAGGCGTGAGCCACCGCACCCGACCACCTGTGTTTTCTCTACTTTATTAGTCTCATCCAGTATACATATTAGATCATTACTTTCACATTCAAATATGCTCTAAAATCACTAACCTTAAATAGAAAAAAAAATGACAGAAAAAAAAGACATTTAAAAAATTAGCAAAGTCCTTCTCTTTAACATCAGGCCAAGAAAATGACCTTATTATTGTCTTTACTTGAAGATTATGTATGATCTCAGGAGATTTGTATGGGTTCAAGTTGACAAGGGGTAGACTTGTGATGGTTAATGCTGAGTGTCAATTTCATTAGATTGAAGGATGCAAATTACTGATACTGGGTGTGTCTGTGAGGGTGTTGCCAAAGGAGATTAACATTTGAGTCAGTGACCTGAGAAAGGCAGACCCACCCTTAATCTGGGTGGGCACCATCTAATCAGCTGCCAGCATGGCCAGGATATAAAGCAGGCAGAAAAACATGAAAAGGCTTGACTGGCTTAGTCTCTCAGCCTGCATCTTTCTCCTGTGCTGGATGCTTCCTGCCCAAGTTCAGACTCCGAGTTCTTCAGCTTTGGGCCTCAGACTGGCCTCATTGCTCCTCAGCTTGCAGATGGTTTATTGTGGAACCTTTTGATTTTGTGAGCTAATACTACTTAAAAAACTCCTCTCTTTCTCTCTCTCTCTCTATATGCATATTCTATTAGTTCTGTCCCTCTAGAGAATCCTACTACATGATTCTACCACTAAAAGATAATAATATATTTTATTCACGTTTATATTTGTATCTATAGTCATATTTATATTTGGAGAAGGCTGCTGGAAAGAAAATGGGGAAATTTCCCTCATTTAAAAAAAATCACACAAGTAGAATTATCTCCATTTTCCACCAGATGTTCTTCTGTTTGCATACAGAGTCATAGCCATTTTACTCTCATGAAGGGAGGGAGCTTGGGAACAAAGCCACCATGCTGAGCAGGGAAAGTCATAAGGAACGAAGGAGGGCTCTTGACATCATTCAATCACTGAATTAAACAACTCTGGGAGTTCCTGACCTCTTAGATCTTTGCAATATGAGATAATAAACTTCCCTTACAGAGTTGAGATTCTGTGGGTTTTTTTCAGGCAAAAAGCATTATATTTAGTGCAGTATGTACCCACAATTTTAGTAGAATGATTTATTAAGTTAATTCATATACAGTGCATAGCAGAGAGCTTAAGACATAAAATGCTTTAAAATTGCAATTATTACTATGGAATTTTTTATTTTTTATCATCATTAATATTATTAATATTGTTACAATTTTACTATTTTTATGATCTAAGTAAATTTAATTTTCATGGTAGCAGTCTAATGTCTGTTTATGAAACAAAGCTAGAAAAATGTTAAAAAATACTTAAACACATAAAAAGTTCCATATTTAAGACAATTTTTTATGACAAAGATAATTTTATTTATTTTTTTTTAAAGAAACTTTTTTTATCTTACAAAATTTTCAAATGTGAAGGATTTTAAATACCTGTTCAACTCTTCAGCAGAAGATCCATGACCTAAAAATATTTCTTACCCTTATGCAACTTTGAAAACATATTTAAGATAAGCTACATTCCTCCTTCAGGGCTGATACATTTGACTCCATAATGACAGATAAGGATATAAAATGTAAGCAAACAATAAGCATGACAAAGAGATCTTAATCATTTAAAATCTTATGTGTCTCACCAATAAAAGAGTGAACTTTTCAAAATAGTAAGGAACCAGATAGAAGAGACATAATATTTGAAAGCAAATCTACATATTTTGCTTCACTTATATTAAGTAAAGGTAACAATGGATATTTGCCTTAAAGTAAGTTAAGCACATTATTCATTCTCATTAATATTAAATTTTAATGAAGTTCATGTAAAACATAATTTTTTAAGTTGATTTGAATGTTAACCTTATGATCAGAGTGGTCAAGAGTTCAAATAATATTTGGGAAAATTTAACACAAATGCAGCAAAACTATGCTGAGACCATTAAGCTGACTATAAAGACTATAAATTATTTAAATAACTTTAACATAACATTAGCAGTTTAAAATATAAGCAATAATAAACTAATTGTTGTTTTTATGTTACTTCAAATAAAATATATATTTTACTGGCAAGTAAATATTATGTGAATTCAGATGCATAAATGTATGTAAAATTCATTTAACTCTGATGGTAAAAATACGTCACTTAAGTACCAAGTACATTTTGTTTTTGTGACAATAGATGCTAGTTTTAAAAATCACAGAAGTTTTTGGGTAAATACGGTTTTCTTTGTTCAAAAATGATTTCTCAAAATAAAAACTTGACATAGATTTTCCTAGAGGATCATTAGAAAAAACTAGCATCAGGATGAAAAATCATTTGTTTCAGGCCCCTTTGAACCAAGAGGCATTTAGGCAGTGTTACCTAATCAAGCTCTTATTAAAACTGGTTTCATATAATTAACACTTCAAAATTCATATGAAAATAAAATGTTATAGTTCTTAAAGTGGCAAAAATATACCATACAGTGTATACAAGTGTTAAATTATATTAACTGCCAGGACATTTTTAGGGCAACAGGGATTTATTTTACCAGTGCCATTTATCCTTCTACTTAAAAGATTGAAATATGGATATTGAAATCTAAACATCTCACTGCTTTTTCAAAAATATATACCCTAAAATGGTTAATACAAAGCAAATTAAAAGAATGGAAGATGTTTTATACATTTACTATTAATTAAATATTGTGTTTTTTGTCTGTTTTATTATTATTTTGTTGTTACTCCCATGTTACTATGCTAATAAATCAAGTTGATGTTTTACTAAATAAAATTTAGAAAATCAAGAATGAAATAACTATACACTATTTTCTTACTCTATTTCTAAGTCTAAAAAGAAGTTTATTTATACAACTTCTTTTAGGCTTTTTTTTCCTGCTAGAATTTGTTTTAATAGAGGAAAAATAAACAAACAAAATTTATCTTAGCCAATCTTATGTGTATGGTTCAATGTTATTAAATACAGTCAAAATGTTCAACCATCACCACCATCCATCTCTCTCTCTCATCTTATAAAACTGAAACTATACCCATTAAAAAACAAACTCCCCATTTTCCCTTTCCAAAGGAAATCCTGACAACCATGGTTCTACTTTCTGTCTTTAGGATTTTAACTACTCGCATAGGAGTAGTAGTCACTTAGAATAATGTCCTCAGGGTTTATGCATATTGTAGCATATGTCAGAATTTCATTCATTTTTAACACTGAATACATTTCTATTGGATGTATATATCAAATTTTACTTACTCATTTATCTGCTGGTGGACATGAGTTGCTTTCACATTTTACCTACTGTGAATAATGCATCTATGAATATAATAAGTGTACAAATACTTCTTCAAAAACCTGCTTTCAATAGAAGGAAATCAAAACATTTTACCCCCATATGTATTTCTTTATCATATTTTGAAATGGCTGCTGCAAGGCCAGAATACTGAGGCAGAGGAAATTTGCAACTTTTGAGAATTTCCATTAATTCAGTCAAGTCTTCCTTTTCTAGCTCTTTCCCGGATATCGGAGAGATTAACTGAAAGTCTGAAATCTTTCAAAGTCTGAAAAGAAACTTTTACCATCTATTCCCTCTGAAGGCAACTACTTGTGAGGCTTCATCTACGCAACAAGGCTTGCTAGCCAAGCCTCTTCGTTTCTCCCTCTCATAGCCCATGTTGCCACTAATACCTGTATTTGGCCATACTTTGGGCCTGCATTCTTTCTGTAATCTCAAGATGGTATATAAAATTATGTACGTTATTAAGGGGTTGATAGAATCTATATTCTGAAAAGCTCCCATGTATACACATTAAATAAGTTTGCCTGACTTTTCCGCTATTAATTTGCCTCATATAAGTGACTTTTCAGCAAAGCTTTAGGGGTCAAGGGCTTTGGCCCCCAGAAATTTTGGGGGTAATTACCCAGAAGTTTAAAGCTGGATCATTTGGAAAATCTATTTTTAATTTTTGAGGAACAACCATACTGTTTTTCAGATCAGTGGTATCATTTTACATTCCCACTAACAGGCCATAAGGGTTTCAATTTTTCCACATTCTTGTCAACACTTGGCATTTTCTGTGTTTTTGAAGGTAGCCATCCAAATAGGTGTAAGACAATATATCACTGTAGTTTTGATTTATTAGGGAATCTTTTATGTGCTTATTGGCAAATGGTATGTTTTTGTTAAAGAAATGTTTATTCAAAGCCTTTGATCATTTTGAATTCAGTTGTCTTTTTTTTATTGTTGAATGTTGTAAGTTCCCTAAATATTCTGAATATCTATTAATTTTCAGATATATAATTGCAAATGTTTTTCTTTCTGTTCTGTGGGTTGTGTTTTTACTCTCTTGACAGTGTCTTTTAATGTACAGTTTTTCCATATTTATAAAGTCCAGTTTATCTATTTTTTTCTTTTGTTATCTATGTCTTGGGTGTCATATCTAAGAAATTACAGCTAAATTAAATGTCATAAAGGTTTTGCCTTATGCTTTCTTCCAAAGGTGTTATAGTTTTTGGTCTTGCATTTAAGTTTTGACCCTAATTGACGTAAGTTTTGTGTATGTTGTTAGGTAAGGGTCCAACTTCATTCTTTGAATATGAATGTACAGGTTTCTGAACATTATTTTTTGAAAAGGGTGCCCTTTCCCTATTGAATAACCTTGGAAGTGTTGATGAAAAAGAGTCAAATTCTGTAAACTATTTCAAGGAATTTATTATGAGCCAAATATGAGTGAACAAGGCGAAAGGCACAGTCTCAAGAGTTCCTGAGAACATGTGCTCAAGGTGGTTACAGCTTGATTTTATACATTTTAGGGGACAAAAGTTACAGGCAGATATCAATTCATATATGTAAGGTATACATTGGTTTTGTCTGGAAAGGCAGGATAACTGAAAGCAGGAGCTTCCAGGTCATAGGTAGATTTAAAGATTTTCTTCCTTTTTTTTTTTTTTTTTTTTGTTGTTGTTGTTGAGACAAAGAGTCTCGCTGTGTCGCCCAGGCTGGAGTGCAGTGGCGTGATCTTGGCTCACTACAACCTCCGCATCCCTGGTACAACAGATTCTCCTGTCTCAACCTCTGAGTAGCTAGGATTGCAGGCATGTGCCACCACACCCGGCTAATTTTTGTATTTTTAGTAGAGACAGGGTTTCACCATGATGACCAAGCTGGTCTTGAACTCCTGACCACAGGTGATCTGCCTGCCTCGGCTTCCCAAAAGATTTAAAGATTTTCTGATTGGCAATTGGCTGAAAGAATTGTTATTATCTAAAGACCTGGAATCAATAGAAAGGAGTATCAGCTAAGATAAGTGGTTGTGGAAACCAAGGTTCTTATTATGCAGATAAAGCCTCCAGGTAGCAAGTTTCAGAAATCATAGACTGTCTATTATCAGACCAAAAAGGTGCCAGACTGTTAGTTAATCTCTCCTGGATTAGGAAAAGACCTGGAAAGGGAAGGGGATTTTCTATAGAAC
The DNA here is from genome assembly GCF_000001405.40 of Homo sapiens. Classification (NCBI taxonomy): domain Eukaryota; kingdom Metazoa; phylum Chordata; class Mammalia; order Primates; family Hominidae; genus Homo; species Homo sapiens. The sequence continues at coordinate 32,016 of NW_009646199.1, forward strand.
GTAGATTTCCCCACAAGGAATGGCTTTTCGGGGCCATTTCAAATATATATTTTGAGGTAAATTATTTTGATTTCTTTCAGGGCCTGCTATCTGTCATGTGAGACTATACTAGAGTCAGGTTGGAATTTAGTATCTTATTGCTATGATGAGTTTATTTCCTCACTCTTAAGATGTCTCTTTAAATGTTTATGCTGGTCCCTTGTGCCTGAATTCCAAACGGAAGAGAGTATAATGAGGCATGTCCCAACTCCCTTCCTGTCATGCATGGCCTGAACTATTTTTTTGAGTTTAACTTTTGAATGCCCTTGGCTGAGAGGGGATCCATTCAGTTTGTCAGGGGGCTTAGAATTTTATTTCTGGTTTATAGCACTCTTGTCATAAATCTGAATTTACAGGTGTTCCCACAAGTATTCCTATGGGTATCTGGTTACTTAGACTTGCTGAGGGGTTTGTTTTTTGAAAATTTAAATAACTTTAAAACTTTGGTTTTCTCTTAATCTTGAAAGATTTACCTGAACTGGGTCAGTATCTCTGTCAATATGTGTAGTATACTAACATGTCAATGTGCTCCTTTCTCCATCAGTTTCCCTTACAGTCTGTTCAAAGAAATATTTCTACTTACTACTCCCCATGGTAAAATACATGTCCTAGGTATTTATCTCAAACTTCAGCTGAAAGAAGATTAAAAAGAGTCAAATATTAGAACCATGAACAATGCCAACGATTAGTAAGGAGCTATAAATACAAATACAGATACAGCTATGGTAGATATGTTAATATTATAGTCTCCTAGGGAAATTGTCATATTAGTTGATAGAAACAATTCTTTCAGTGTACATGTAGAAGCCATTATATGGTTTTGTGTGTGTGTATATATATATATGTGTTTATATCTATACCTATCTAATATATATGTGTATAAATAAATGGAAATCTACATTCCAAATTTGCATTTATCTAAATATTAAGAACATTTTATAACAAGAAAATTTAATCACAAATAGTTTTATTTTTCTAATTTCCCTCAAAATTTTTATTTAATTATAAAATGGAACATATAATCTAATTTCCTAAATAACCTTGGCGTAGATGTTAATTTTCAACTCTTTTTTGTTTATGGTGTGTATAAATAATAATACATATGAAATTCTAAAATCTTAGTAGCAACTTTAGATATAGATAAATCTACGTACAGGAAAATGCATGCTAGACAATAGATTAAGAAGTTAAAAAGTTAAAGTGATGAAAATTGAAAAAATATTACAGCGTGGAAGGGATGTTAAAATTGAACTAAATTACACTTTACCCACTAAAGCATGTGATCAGAAATCCTTGTTCGTCTTAATTGGACTGAATTGATCAGAGGCTAGCGTTGTTTGTAATGATTTTTTAGAAAGATATCTTAATTATTCTGTGGAGTACTGCCATAAAGTAGGTAAAGTCAATCAATTTAATGCAATTTCACTCTTTGTAAATAACCTTCAAGCCTGAGAGAAAGGAAATTTAAAAAAAGTTTTAAATGGTCTGTATGTCTCTTTTTAAGTATATAAAGTTAATCCACACAATTTAACCATATAATAATGCATTTATTTAGCAAAAATTTTCCTGATCCATTGAAATCCAACAGCATAAGAAGACTTTTGATGCTTTGTTATGGTGCAGCATTTAGGAAATAAAGTATTTAACAGAAGATCTAGATGACAATGAGACTCAATGAGAAACAACTTAAAAATTGTAATTCTAAATGAAAGTAACTAACAGTTTGACTACAGCTTCCTAAACTTTGAAACATAAAATATACATATGTTCTTTCACAATAATGACATTTAAATATATTAAGAGAATTTCAGTTAGTGTATGACAAAACTGCTTATCTTCTTAACTTTATTTTTTGAACAATACTTTTTGATGTATTTTCCCTGATAACTGCCTAAATTATACTAAATTTCCTTTAAATTTTTAAACCATACATGATATCGTTTTTCTGTGTCCCCACTCAAATCTCATCTTGAATTCCCATGTGTTGTGGGAGGGACCTGGAGGGAGGTAACTGAATCATGGAGTCAGGTTTTCCCATGCTGTTCTCATGATAGTAAATAAGTCTCATGAGATCTGATGTTTTTAAAAAGAAGAGTTCTCCAGCACAAGCTCTCTTTGCCTACCACCATCAACGTACAATGTGACTTGCTCCTCCTTTCCTTCCATGATGATTGTGAGGCTTCCCCAGCCACGTGGAACTGTAAGTCCATTAAACCTCTTTCTTTTGTAAATTGCCCAGTCTCGGGTATGTCTTTATCAGCAGCATGAGAATGGACTAATACAGTAAACTGGTACCAGTAGAGTAGGGTGCTACTGAAAAGATACCTGAAAAAGTGGTAGCAACTTTGGAATGGGGTAACAGGCAGAGGTTGGAACAGTTTGGAGGGTTCAAAAGAAGACAGGAAAGTGTGAAAAATTTTGGAACTCCCTAGAGACTTGCTGAATGGCTTTGACAAAAATGCTGATAATGATATGGACAATGAAATCCAGGCTGAGATAGTCTCAGATGGAGATGAAGAACTTGTTGGGAACTGGAGCAAAGGTGACTCTTGCTATGTTTTTAGCAAAGAGACTGGTGGCATTTTCCCCTGCCCTAGAGATTCGTGGAACTTTGAAATTGAGTGAGACGATTTAGGGTATCTGGAGGAAGAAATTTCTAAGCAGCAAAGCATTCAAGAAGTGATGGGTGCTGTTAAAGGCATTCAGTTTTAGAAGGGAAACAGCATCAAAATTCAGAAAATTTGCAGCCTGACAATGCAATAGGAAATAGAAACCCATTTTCTGAGGAAAAATTCAAGCTGCCTGCAGATATTTGCATAAGTAATGAGAAGCTGAATGTTAATCACCAAGACCATGAGAAAAATATCTCCAGGACATCAGAGACCTTTGTGGCAGCCCCCTCCCATGAAAGGCCCAGAGACCTAGGAGGAAAAAATGGTTTTGTGGGGCTGGCCCAGGTTCCCTCTACTGTGTGCAGTCTAGGGACTTGGCATCCTGTGTCCCAGCCACTCCAGCTGTGGCTGAAAGGGTCCAAGGTACAGTTCAGGCCATGGCTTCAAAGGGTGCAAGCCCCAAGTCTCGGCAGCTTTCACAAGGTGTTAAGCCTGTGAGTGCAAGGAAGTCAAGAATTGAGGTTTGGGAACCTCCACCTATGTTTCAAATGATGTATGGAAACACCTGGGTGCCCTGGCAGAAGTTTGCTGCAGGGGCGGGGCCCTCATAGAGGGCCCTCTACTAGGGCAGTACAGAAGGGAAATGTGGGTTGGAGCCCCAACACAGAGCCCCACTGGGGACACTGCCTAGTGGAGCTTTGAGAAGAGGGCCACCATTCTCCAGACCCCAGAATGGTAGACCCACTGACAGCTTGCACTATGCACTTGGAAAAGACACAGACACTCAACACCAGCCCATGAAAGCAGCCAGAAGGGAGGCTGTACCCTGCACAGCTACAGGGGCAGAGCTGCCCAAGACCATGGGAACCCAACTGTTGCATCAGCATGACCCAGATGTGAGAATTGGAGTCAAAGAAGATCATTTTGGAGCTTTAAGATTTGACTGTCCTTCTAGATTTTGGACTTACATGAGGTTTGTAGTCCCTTTGTTTTGGCCAATTTCTCCCATTTGGAATGGCTCTATTTACCCAATGCCTATACCCCCATTGTATCTAGGAAGTAACTAACTTGATTTTGATTTTACAGTCTGATAGGCTGAAGGGACTTGCCTTGTCTCAGATGAGATGTTGGACTGTTGACTTTAGAGTTAATGCTGAAATGAGTTAAGACTTTGGGGGACTGTTGGAAGGCATGATTTGTTTTGAAATGTGAGGACATGATATTTGGAGTGGAATGATATGGTTTGGCTGTGTCCCCACCCAAATCTCATCTTGAATTCCCAAGTGTTGTGGGAGAGACCTGGTGGGACGTAATTGAATCATGGGGGCAGGTCTTTCCCATGCTGGTCTAGTGATAGTGAATAAGTCTCACAAGATCTGATGGTTTTAAAAAAAAGGAGTTCCCCTGCACAAGTTATCTTTCTTTGCCTGCCGCCATCCATGTAAGACGTGACTTGCTCCTCCTTGCTTCTGAAATGATTGTGAGGCCTCCCCAGCCATGTGTAATTGTAAGTCCATTATACCTCTTTCTTGTGTAAATTGGGTACGTCTTTATCAGCACATGAGAACAGACTACAAAATACATATTCAAATTTAAATTTTGGAATGTTTGTATGTGATGATCATATACTGTGATATGTCTGCGAACAAGAGAAAATTTTAGAAGACTAAATGTAAAACCTGGAGTGACCAGTGATGCCCTGATAAAAAATAATTAGAGTTAAGGTGATAATTTAGATTGGAAAGCAAGCAAGCAAGCAAGACAAAAAAAGAGAGAAAGAGAGGAAGGAAGGAAGGAGAAGAAAAGAAAGAAAGAAAAAGAAAGAAAGAGAAAAGAAAGAAAAAGAAAAGAAAGGAAGGAAGGAAAGAGAAAGAAAGAAGGAACAACCCTCTGGTGGCATAATTTGTATCTGATTTCTTAATTAGATGTATTTGATGTGTGAATAGATTGTAAGTACATAGCTGAATGTCAGGCAAGTCTACCTTTTGCTTCTTAATTACTCATGCTAAATGGAAATCTTTGTAATTGACAAATCCTGCCCGTGTATTCATCTTATAAAAAAGAAAAACTTGAAAGTTTATATTTAACTATAATTGATATAATCAGAAGTCTCACTAATTTTATAACATTCTTCTCTTAGATGTGAAAACAGTGACTTGCCTGTAGAAACTGAAAGTTTATTGTAAAGCAGTTCATGCCAAAGATGGTGAATACTCTTCAGGAAGCCTAACAGGCAATCTGTCTAAACATAACTAATGCTCATGACAGTAAAGTTAGATAAATAGAATGGTAGGTGATGATATAATCATATTTCCTTTCCTAAAGATACCTGAGTTCTCCACCACAAAAAGGAATTAATTTATTATAATGAAGAGATTATGAAAATTTCCATTTGAGAGAGAAAGGCTAAGAAATGTTGGAGAAGTGTAATAGTACATATCATAGCCTAGATTAATTAAATTGGCTACAATATTGGTATCCACCGGATAATTCACTAATATAATATATCTTGGGGCCATGAAAGTCATATCACATACAGAAATAAACCAAACTAATAATAAAAATGTATAATATACTATAATTCTACTATAATATCTATATCTGTACTTTCTGCTAGGCCCAATTCATAAGATAACCCTCTTGTAACCCAATTCCCTGAAATGAATTTAAATAGAATATGGAATTAAAACTATCTTTGGAATCTTACAGCATAGTATATCACATGTAGTACTGTTTGGGGCCATATGAATGCATATTAAAGCACACAATACAGGGGAAAGGTCGGGCATATAGATATGTGCAATCTTGAGTCTCTCCAAGTAGCAGCAAATACTAGGATTTTGAACAAGCTACCTAACACTGGAGCAAGATACACTTTTCTCAAAAAAATTTAGTGGCTTTTCATGAGGTTTTAGAGGAGACAGCTGCAAATATTGAGAAATATCAAATAATTTTTAGACTTAAGGTACCTAGTATACCTTAAGTAAGTATTATTAAGTATTGTAGTAACATTAGAAATATTTATTTTGATATGTTAAGTAGCTGGTCAGAATTCATTCATGAAGTGGAAATGGCATATGCCAAAACAGGCGACAGGCTGTAGTTCTGGAAGACTATAGTGTACTCATGAAAAATTTGCCATCCTGTTTCTGGGAAAAATGATAAAACTTCTGGAAAAACTAGTAGCTTTTAATAAGGAATAGTCTGAGCCTCAGAGTTAAAGCAGAGCAGGTGCCCAAAGGGTCACATAATGCCATCCAAAATATGCCACTTTGGCGTAAGAATTCTTTTGAGCTGAAGGCAACTGATAAGAAACAGATAGAAGAAAAGCTCTGTGCCCTCACCCACTTGCCTAAAAGCAGGACATAAATTTACACAGGATACAAATTTACTCCTCCTTTTAATGAGAAAGGACAAAAGTTGATCATCATAGAAAGCTTTCAACTTTTATCAGCCTGGAGACACCACCAGATGAATCTATTTCACAAACTTTACTTACTAGCTTTTACGTACCTTCAGTTTGCCATTTATTTGCCTTCTCACTAGATATTCAAGGTCCTTTTTCTGTGTCTTGCTGCTTCTATAACAATATGTTGTTTTTTGTTAATGATGCTACATAAGTCAGCATTTTAAGCCACCTCTTTAATATTTACTCATGTTTGCCTGGGTATGTTCCATGTATACATGGGTTATAACATGTTAACTTCTGTCATTTTTTTTTCTCTTGTTAATCAGCCTTTTGTTATAGGGGTCTCAACTATAAATTCAGAAAAATAAAGGGGAAATTATTTTTTCCTCCCCTACACAACCCAATTCATGAATGAGCGTCTCAAATTAAGGGAAGAAAGCAGTATGTAATAATGCAGCCATTCTTTCTGCAGATGATAAAACATCAGTTGAAGAAGTTCATTTGGGTAAAGAGATGGATAATATTTGGATATACATGAACTCTTGGACCATCATCAATAGCTTTGTTCTATATTAAGGCATAAGGACAGATGCTGATACCATCTCCTTTACAAGGTCAGTAGATGATCCATAGCTGCTATATATGGGGCTAAAAATGACTCCAGTCTTCACTGTACTTTAAAAGAAGACCATTTCTTGATGGAGTTATCAAAAGTATTTTAATACTCTTGGATTTTAATGCGTCAAGAAAATCTTACAAAATAAAATAATTATTTATTATAGAGTTTGCCAGCCCTGTCTTGGATGATTGGATTCCAAGGGTATCCTTATATTGTTAATACAATTGTAAAATTCCAAGTGGAAATTTCAAGGAAGAATTAAAGTAAGTTATGTGGATAATGAATAGTTACTGCTCAGAAAGTGGCAGGAATGTGAAGACTGATGCCCTTGCTTAGGCCCTGGAGGTAGCTACTTGAAATGAGCAGGCACAGATATGTTCAGGTTATGCAACATTGGACAGGAAAGGCTGTATACCTCTAGCCTCTACTAATGCTGCTAATGTAATAAAAGACCATATAGACTGTTAACAGGAAATTGAATTTGAGTAAGATTTCCTGAGAAATTCTCACACTTAGCAGGGAGTGGTACTCTACAGGAGCTTTATAAAGAAATCCAGGTGGCTTCAAATGGATTGTCACTGTAGTACTTATGCAATCCGTTTTGGGCTCTGTTTACTGCTTACCTGAATCAGCAGCAGAGAATGTTATTAAAAGTATAGAATAAAGTATTTTGCATCAATTTGTTCTCCCCAGTTATATATTAACAGAACAAAGAATGCATTTCCTTCCTGCCAGCAATCCAAAATGTTCTAAAAAGAATTACATCAAGCAGATGCATGCTATCCTTTTTTTTTTTTTTTTTTGAGACGGAGTCTTGCACTGTTGCCCAGGCTGGAGTGCAGTGGTGCGGTCTTGGCTCACTGCAAGCTCCACCGCCTCCCAGGTTCACACCATTCTCCTGCCTCAGCCTCCCAAGTAGCTGGGACTACAGACGCCCACCACCACACCCGGCTAATTTTTTGTATTTTTAGTAGAGACAGGGTTTCACCGTGTTAGCCAGGATGGTCTCGATCTCCTGACCTCATGATCCACCCGCCTTGGCCTCCCAAAGTGCTGGGATTACAGGTGTGAGCCACCCCGCCCATCGGATGAATGCTATTCTTTATGGTCTAAAAGGCATTTCTTTGAGAATTGGGGTTAAAAAACAAATATCTGTTAATAGAAATAAAAACGTAATATGGGTGAGAAGTGTTGGTTAGTGTAAATGGGTGAATTTGTTCTTCATCTAAATGTGAGGGTGGAAAAGAGGATATCTTTGGAAAAATTGTGGGGATGTAGTGCTAGGAATGAAGGCGTGGAGGATGATGGAATCTTCCAGTTCCCTGTTTTTCCCAACAGGCACATTATTCCATTATATGGAAATAGAGTGGTCTAGGACTGCTCATTTTGTGCTTGGCAGAATAAGCACTGGTGTGCAGAGTACTTTCTCAGTGCCTATGAACTTTGTGAATTTTCTAAAGTAAAATGAGTCAGAGAGTAATCCCATCTTATTGGCTAAATCATGGTAAGTAGTGATTTTTAGTCACAGAAGCAGCCTTGTCTTCCTTTGTCTCCATATTGAGGATAGAAAATATAGCAAGAAACAGCAGTTCCAATCCTGCTACTCAAAAAAGAGGCTCTCATTTGGGTACTGATTCTGGCTTAAGATAGGTAATAAATGGGAAGAACATGGAGAAATTGTAGCAGTTGATGACCCATATTAATGAGAAATTTTGGTTGAGAAAATACCTTTTTTTTTTCTCTCTCATAATACAATCTTACGACAGGAGAATAATACACTTCACTGCTACTTTCAGATGTGATACCATGGCATAGCTGCTGCTGGGAAAGCTCACAGGTTTGATTTCCTATAAGAAGATTAATTTTATATAAATCAGTTTAAAAGGATTTTTCAAGGTACCTATATATGTGATTTAGTAAAAAGATGGCACCAAACATCATTTAATCACCATTGTAAATAATAGCTGTTTGATGTTGATTGAGTTATTTTTTGGTTATTATGCTTATTATATGCATTCTTTTACAGACTTGAAATTTCTACCTTTGAACCATGCAGGTCATTTTGTTACTGTCAGTGGTCAGCATATCTACTGCGTTGTTGTGAACCAGGATGACGTATTGTTAAGGCAATTATCCGTGTTGAAGAGAAACACGTCGCTGCTGCTTGCTTGATGTGGCTGCAACAACAAAGCTGTTTTGACTACTCTAGGTAAAAAATGGGGTTTGAACACTACAAAATCAGGCACCTACAGAATCACAGTAGGATCTGAGTAGGTGAATATTGTCATAAAATGCTGGCCAAATATCTCATTATTTACACCTAATATTCAAGAAAGACAGTCATGAGAAACTTTATGACATACTCAGACAGAACTGAATCTATTGGCAGAATATATTCCCAACTAATCATCTCTCATGGGATACAACATTGTGTTTTCAAAATACCTTAACTGCATTCACCTCTCGTCATTCAGTAACAACATTTGGGGTGGCTGAACCAACACCAGCTCCAAGGCCTTAGATGTCCTGGAATATTGTGTGTTACGTGAATGATAGATTATTGTTCTGGATATTTAGTAACATTATGAAAAGGTGTTATTAACCCAGCTAAGGACACCAGAATCACTTTCATGGGAAACTAGCAGAACATTGCAATTGGCCAAGTACCAAACTTAACTGTTTATAATTCTAAGATATGCAGAGAAAGAATACAAGAAAAATAATTAGCAACCCAGCCAGTGATTCCAAGTCTTTACTAAAGATTAGTAAAAGAACTTTGGTGGATGTACAATTTGACTTAAGTACTGAAAGGTGAGTAGAAATTAATCAGTAAAATGTGAGAAAAATTTAGGATATGCTTATCATAAAACTGTACAAATTTTTCAATGATACCCAAAATGTAAGACATGCTGAAATAATCTATTTCCATGGATCAAACTCATCCCAAATAAAGTACTGGAAAACCAAGATACATTAAAAAGTATTCTATCTTATGGTTTGCTGGAGTTCAACACATACAGCCCCAATATGAGGATACGCTTTAGCTTCTGAGGATGTATTTTGCCATCTTCTTTGTATACATCACCTGTATTTGCTCACCACCCCCATGGCGTTGTCCCAATGAGGGAAGGTACTTTTTTGAGTTAATAGGAGGTATAAACATACTTGTCATTGATTGATATTGATTTTAGAATTGGAATGAAATTATTCCCAATGATTATTCTATCATATTAAATATCTAATAATTGATCATGATGCAACGGCAGAGGCAAAGACAGGGACATAAAAGACTGGAGAAATTCACAGATAAAATCTTTAATAGAAGATTGGTAGGAAGACGGCCAGCTGTGGTGGCTCAGGCCTGTAATCCCAGCACTTTGGGAGGCCAAGGCAAGTGGATCACTTGATGCCAGGAGTTTGTGACCAACACAGAGAAACCCCGTCTCTACTAAAAATACAAAGCATTAGCTGAGAAAGGTGACACATGCTTCTAATCCCAGATATTTGGGAGGCTGAGGCATGAGAATCACTTGAACCCAGGAGGCAGAGGTTGCAGTGAGCCACGATTGCACCACTGCACTCCAGCCTGGGTGACAGAGCAAGACTTTGTCTCAAAAAAAAAAAAAAAAAAAAAGAAGAAGATTAGTTGAAAGAAATTAGAAGACACTCCCTAAAAATATAACATTGACAAAAAATATTTCTCTATATGTTTCTCTCTACATATGGGTTGATATGTTTTGGCTGTGTCCCCACCTAAATTTCATCATGAGTTGTAATCCTTATAATCCCCATGTGTTGTGGGAGGGATCCTGTAGGGAATTGAATCATGGGGGCCGTTTCCCCCATGCTGTTCTGATGATAGTGAGTGAGTTATCACGAGATTCAGATCTGATAGTTTTATTAGCATCTGGCATTTCCCCTGCTGGCATTCATTCTCTCTCCTGCCACCCTGTGAAGACTGATTGTAAGTTTCCTGAGGTCTCCGCAACTATATAGAACTGTGAGTCAATTAAACCTGTTTTCTTTAAAAATTACCCAGTTTGGGGTATTTCCTCATAGCTGCATGAGAATGACCTAATACATGTATATACGATATGTATATATGTATACGTACGTACGTATGTACGTATACATATATATACGTATATATACGTATATACTTATATGTATGTATATATACGTATATGTATGTATATATACGTATATATGTGTATATATGTCTATATACACATATATACGTATGTATGTATATGTATATACACACATATATACATATACGTATGTATATATACATATATACGCACACACCCATTATATATATATACAACATATATATTTATAATGATATATATGTTATATGTATTTTTATAAATATATAAAAATATATAAATATATTATATATAATTTATATATAATATATATTTTATTTATATATAATATATAAATTATATATCTAATATATAATATAATTATATATATTATATATTATATATATAATTATATTAATATATTAGATATATAATATATATTTATATGTAAATATGTATATATAATATATACATGTATAATATATAATATGTATATTTAGATATTAATATATAATATAATATATAAATATAAATATTATTTATAATATATAATATATAAATATATTATAAATATTATAAATATTATAATATTTATAATATATAAATATATGATAATATATTATAATATTTATAATATAAAATATATTTTATATTATAATATAATATAAAATATATTTTATATAATATAATATAATATAAAATATATAATATATATTATAATATATAATGTATATAATACAATATAATATAATATAATATATGATATATATTACAATATATAATGTATATTATAATATATAATATAATATATATAATATAATATAATATATAATACAATATATATAATATAATATATAATATAATATATAATATATAATATATAATATATATTATAATATATAATATTATATATTATAATATATAATATTATAATATATAATATTATATATTATAATATATATTATATATTATAATATATAATATATATTATAATACATATTATAATATATAATATGTATTATAATACGTATTATAATATATAATATAATCTATAATATATATTATAATATATAATATATAAATATATAAAAATATATAATATATATTTATATACAAATATATAAAAATATATAATATATTTATACACAAATATATATAATTTACATATATAAATATATATTTATAATGAGTATATATTATATATATTATATATATTTTATATTTTATATATATTATATATAATACATATTTATAATGGGTATATGTATTTTATATATAATATATATACGTGTGTATGTTTACCTATATATAAATATGTGAGTATGTATGCATGTGTATATTTATTTATATATAATCAAATAATAAAATATTCATACCAGAATGTAGAACGTTCAAAGAAATAAGAGATAGTATACCCTTTTCTATCTTTTTTTCTCTCTTCTTTGTTTGGATTTTAAGAAATTTCTGAAAGCACGTATTGTATTTTATCAGCATGTATGTGTATATGTGTGTGCATGTATGTCTGTTTGTGTGTGCATGTTAACTAATGGGGCACAACAAAACACACCCCAAACTTGTCATTTTAAATAACACATATTTGTTACATTTCTTACCTCACAGTTTTTGTGGGTCAAGAATCTGGGCAATAGAGAGAGTCCAATAGCAAGATGATAAATACCTAATCACAGAAGTGACATTTTAAAAATACTTATTTTACTTTACTTTTGTGGTAGCTGGGAGCCACCATCTGAGTGGGAGGCCTGGTCTCCCCTGGAGGGTGGGTGGGATGTTGGAGGGAGGCCTCGAAGGGTCGCCCCCACGTGTGTCAGATTCACTGAGTGGCATCTCAGGATAACGCCTAGGCTGGGAAGCCACTGTGGAGTTTCTGTGGTAGGTAGTGGGTGGGTCAGAGATGGAGGCCTCCTCTTCGGGTCGCTGCAGTGTGGCAGCATCATTTAATGGGGACAGGTCTTGGATGGGTTTTTAAGGGTGATTAAATGCTAAGTCCCCACGTGCAAGACGAGACAGAGCTCGACATGCTACAAGGCATGAGAACATCAATGTGCACAGCAGGAATTGTTTGGGACGGGCCTTGTAGGGGGAATATTTGCGGTCGGGGAGGCATGAAAGGGGCCTCAGTCGGTAGCCTCTTGCAATGGCAGGATCGTCCTGTGGGATCTCTGGTCCTTGGGAGCCCTGAGGTTGCCCCTACCTGCTGTGGGTGCTTTCCTGGTGACGCCTTCCTAGCCCAAGAGGGAAGGAAGTGAATCCTTCCTTTCTCCCCACTCACCCCACGTGCACAGGCTGCAAGCCTCCTATACTGATTTTGGTAGCAAGTTATTCAAAGAAAGAGATGTATGCAAGGTCATTAATATGGTTAGGCTTTGTGTCTCCACTAAATCTCATCTTGAATTGTAATCCCCATAATCTCCATAATACCCATAATCCTCATGTGTCAAGGGAAAGACCAGGTAGAGGTAATTGAATCGTGGAGAGGTTCCCCTATGCTGGTCTCCTGATAGTGAGTTCTCAGGAGATCTGATGGTTTTATAAGGGGCCCTTCCCCCTTCGCTGGGCACTTCTCCTTGATTCCCCTTCACCCTCTGCCATGATTGTAAGTTTCCTGAGGCCTTCCCAGCCATAGAGTGGTGATTCAATTAAATCTGTTTTCTTTATAAATTACCCAGTCTTTAGAGCAGTATAAAAACAGATTAAAACAGTCACGAAGGCTAGGGACAGGGATCACTCTTAGAGGCTGCGTAGTATGGATGGTGTATACATGTGTTGAGGTCATCTCTTGTTTGACAGACTGTCCTTACAGCCTTGGTTTGATTTTCCTGTCTGTTTGGTTGTATATCTTTACCTTTTAATTGACATTTTATTTTATTTTGTTTTGTTTTACAAATGTTTTCTGCTCTTTGGCTGCACACTAATCGAAGAACTCTGTGTGCATAACATGGCTTGAAGAGCAGAGAGTTTTATTGGGTATTTGATTAGGCTGTGTCACTAGGGTATTGCAAATTCTCAAGTTTTCTTCCTTCCTTTCCTTTTTTTTCATCTTTTATTCTTTTCTTTCTTCCTTTATCCCACAGGTTGGGCTTTCTACAAAGGAAGTTTTTAATATTCTGATTGAAAGGACTGTATAATCCTCAATGATTTTTTCAAAGCCTGCTGAGGGAATAGAACTGAGATTAGGGTAGCTCTCACCATTCGGTTGATAGACTTCTCTGACTATGCCTATTTGTGTAAGGTACCCCACTCACATCTGTGCAAAGTTTTCCCATTTTCATATTTCTCATGTTTTACTGACTGCAAGGAACAGGCTCTAATATTTTCTCTTGCTTTGGAGGGATAATTTTCTTTCTGTCAATATTGATAGAAAATTTTGTCTGCCTGTTAAGCAGACTTCCAAATAATACTTGTCTGCTTCACTTTTCCATCAACTCTGTGATGACTGCTTCTTTTAATTTGTGCATCATTTTGGAATTAATTTACACAAATCAGGATTCTTCCATGATTATTCCAGGAAGGCTTACCTTTTATGAATTTTCTACTACCTTTTGCCTATTCCCTTTCCAGATTTACTGATTTTGTTCCTGTTTTCCTATGGGTTTTTGTAATTCTTTGTTTATGTTTTCTTATTTTATAAGTTTATTATTATTTGACTGAGTCTTGGAGGAGGATGGAGGTAAACACATATGTTCAATGCAACTGTTTTTTCTAGATGCCATTACTGGTTTTATTATATTCAGCTTCAAATTACTTTGTGCATCTCTACAAAATTAATGTTCCATTGCTTTATTCATGTCTTGCTTAATAAATTTTAAAGCACCACTAGTATCTACAGGACAAGATTCAAATGTCTTTCTTCTGGAACCACTTTCTGCCACAGTATTTGTTCATATTTTGCCAAGCCTGGCATTGAATATTCACTTCCATACGTTGGTTAATGCCATAGTCCCACCCCAAATTACCCTTTACCTTTTCTCTGCCATGGTCTGGACAAATGTGCCATTCCAATTTACAGTTGTCTCTGGAGGTGTTAATTTATTTGTTCAATGCCAAATAACTAGTAAGTCTCAGAGCCAAAGTTTGTGCCTAGAACTGTTATTTACAGTAGGTAGCTAGTCAGGCATGAGCAGCACAGAAGAGGGCTCCTCCCCCCGCTCAACACACACACTAGGAATGTCAGGTGACCATCAGGTGAGGGCCAGGTGGTTGTTAACTGTCTCTTTAAAATACTAGTTAATCATAGATGGCCTGTCTCCTAATAGATAGAACTGAAACTGGTGAT
This sequence comes from Homo sapiens, assembly GCF_000001405.40. Lineage (NCBI taxonomy): Eukaryota > Metazoa > Chordata > Mammalia > Primates > Hominidae > Homo > Homo sapiens. The sequence continues at coordinate 47,077 of NW_009646199.1, forward strand.
TAGCAGCTTCCCAATAAGATCTCAGGAACTGGGCAAATGGGCTCAAGCATGTGCATTAAGAGGCAAAATTGTGTAGTTTAACCGGTATCTGACCTTCCTCTAGGAATGCTAGACTGGTAAGGGAAGAATGCCTCAAGTGAGCACGTGTACAACTCCAGTAAACACACTGTGCATGCTCCCCTCCCAAGTGCTACCAGGCCACTGTGCATGAGGACAGCCTACCCCAAGGGAAGAATCAGGGGAGAAAGGATGCAAGACATGGGAAGTGAGCCAATATATAAAACCCCAAGTCAAATGTGAAACTAAGCACTTGATCTCTCAAGTCACCGCTTGGCCCTCTTCCAAGTGTACTTTACTTTCTTTCATTCCTGCTCTAAAACTTGCCTCAGTCTCTCCTTCTGCCTCATGCCTCCTTGGTCAAATTCTTTCTCCTGAGTAGGCAAGAATTGAGGTTTTTGCAGACCCATATGGATGCTCTGCCAGTAACAGAACCACTGCTTTTAGAACACTCATTCTTTGCATTCTAACAAGATGCTCTGTAACTAATTTTCAAGTACGAAACCACCTAGATTGCACCTTTATGATATTAATACAGTGTTATAAAAAATAAGACGTAAACATGAGTTTTACAAAAATAAAAATTTTCTGAAGTTCACATTTGTAAGCAGAAATTGCATATATGGTGGTGGGGTAGAGATTAGCATGAGAGAAAATTCTTTAGGAATAAAAAACCTGATTATTCCTGCCATTGATGATTATTCATGTCCCACTTTGTTTTAGACATTTCATTCTGAGCAAAACCCAGTTAGCAGATTTGTTATATAACTGCCTGCCTGTCTGTGCATAAATTGTATTAATTGAAAATAATAACATCAGTTTTATCTAACATTTTGGGATACGAGTATATCTCCAAATTTTTTTGATTCTTTTTTATTTTTAATTTTTATGTGTACATATATGTAATTTTATGTGTAAGTATATATATTTACGGGGTATATGAGATGTTTTGATACAGGCATGTTAGGTCAAATAAGTACGTCATGAAGAATGGGGTATCCATCCCCTCAAGCATTTGCCTTTGGATTACAAAGAATCCAATTACACTCTTTAAGTTATTTTAAAATTGACTATAGTCATCTTATTATGTTATCTAATAGGGGTCTTATTCATTCTTTCTATTTCTTTTTGTACCCATTAACCATCACCACCTCCCCTCAGCCCCGCACTACCCTTCCCAGCCTCTAGTAACCATCCTTCTACTCTCTATGTTCATGAGTTCAATTGTTTTGACTTTTAGATCCCACAAGTAAGTGAGAACATGCAATGTTTGTCTTTCTGTGCCTGGATTACTTCACTTAAAGTAATGACGTCCAATTCCATGCATGTTGTTGCAAATGACTGGATCCTTTTGATTTTTGTGGCTGGATAGTACTCCATGGTGTATATATACCACATTTTCTTTATCCAGTAATCTGTTGATGGTCACATAGGTCGCTTCCAAATCTTAGTTATTGCAAACAGTGCTGCAACAAACATAGGAGCAGAGATATTTTTTCATGTACTGATTTCCTTTCTTCTGGGTATATACCCTACAGTTAGATTGTTGGATCATACAGTGACTCAGTTTTTAGTTTTTTGAGTAATCTCCAAACTGTTGTCCATAGTGGTTGTGCTAATTTACATTCTCACCAATAGTGTATGAGGAATCCCTTTTCTCAACATCCTCAACAGCATTTGTTATTGCCTGTCTTTGGATATAAGTCATTTTAACTGGGGGTAAAATGATATCTTATTGAAGTTTTTTGATTTTCATTTCTCTGACATTCAATGATATTAACCATCTTTTCATATGTCCGTTTGCCATTAGTATGTCTTATTTTGAGAAATGTCTATTCATATCTTTTGCCCATTTTTTATTCAAATTATTAGATTTTTTTTTCTCTATAGAGTTGTTTGAGCTCCTTACATATTCTGGTTAGTAATCCCTTGTCAGAGGGGTAGTTTGCAAATAATTTTCTCCCATTCTGTGGGTTGTCTCTTCACTCTGTTGATTGCATCCTTTGCTCTGCAGATGCTTTTTAACTTGATGTGAACCAATCTGTCCACACTGGTTTTGGTTACCTGTGCTTGTATGGTATTTTTCAAGAAATCTTTGCCAAGACAAATGTCCAGAAGACTTTCCCCAATGTTTTCTTATAGAAGTTTCATAGTTTTGGGTCTTGGATTTAAGTCTTTAATCCATTTTGATTTGATTTTTGTATGTGACTAGATACAGGGGTCTGGTTTCATTCTTCTGCATATGAATATCCAGTTTTCCCAGCACCATTTATTAAAGAGACAGTCTTTCCCCCAGTGTATATTCTTGGCATCTTGTGGTGTCTGAATTTTTTTCTGAGTTCTCTGTTCTTTTCCATTTGTCCACATGTCTATTTTTATGCCAGTACCATGATGTTTTGATTACTATATCTCTGTAGTCTAATTTGAAGTCAGGTTATGTGATTTCTCTTTTGTTTTTTTTTTCTTAGGAGAGCTTTAGCTATTCTGGGTCTTTTGTTTATAATTAGAGAATTGTTTTCTCTATTTCTATAAAGAATTTCACTGGTATATTGATAGCAATTGAATTGACTCTGTAGATTGCTTTGTGTAGTACGGACTTTTAACAATACTGAATCTTCTGATCAATGAACAGGGAATATTTTTCCATTTTTGGTATCCTCTTCAATTTTTTTCTTCATTGTTTTATAGTTTTTATTATAGAGATCTTTTACTTCTTTGGTTAATTCCTAGGTATTTAATTTTATGCATTGCTATTGTAAATGGGATTACTTTGTTATTTCCTTTTCACATTGTTCACTGTTGGCATAATGTTACTCATTTTTGTATCCTGAAACTTTACTGGACTTGTTAATCAGTTATCATAGTTTTCTTGTGGCGTCTTTAGGTTTTTTCAAGTATAAGACTATATATCGCCTGTAAACTATAATAATTTGTCTTCTTCCTTTCCAATTTTGATGCCCTTTATATCTTTATCTTGTCTGATGCTCTAGCTTGGAATTCTAGGACTATGTTGAATAACAGTGTTGAAAGTGGGCATCCTTGTCATGTTCCAGATCTTAGAGGAAAGGCTTTCAGTTCTTCTTCATTCAGTTTGATACTAGCCGTGGGTCTGAATATGTGGCTCTTTTACATTGAGGAATATTCCTTCTATCCCAGTTTTGAGACTTTTTATTGTGAAGCGATGTTGAACTTTATCAAATGCTTTTTCAGCATCGATTGAAATGGTCATATGGTTTCTATCCTTCATTCTATTGATATGATGTATTGAACTGATTGATTTGCATGTATTGAACCATCCTTGCATCCCAGGGATAAATCCCACTTGGTCATAATGAAAGATCTTTCTAACATATTGTTGAATTTGGTTTGCTAGTATTTTATTGGAGATTATTGATTCAATATCCATCAGAGATATTAGCCTGTAGTTTTCTTTCTTTGTGATGTCTTTGGTTTAGGTATCAGTGTAATACTGGCCTTGCATAATGACTTTTTAAATATTTCCTCCTCCTCTGTTTTTTGGAATAGTTTGAGGAGGATTGGTATTAGTTCTTTAAGTGTTTGGTAGAATTCAGCAGTGAAGCCATCAAGTCCTGGTCTTTTCTTTATTGGGAGACTTTATTATGGCTTTGATCTCATTACATTTTATTGGTCTGTTCAGTTTTTTTATTTCTTTCTGGTTCAATCTTGGTAGGTGGTATTTATCTAGGTATTCATTTATTCTAGATTGTTCAATTTATTGGCATATAGTTGCTAATAGTAGCCACCAATGATTCTTTGAATTTCTGCAGTATCAGTTATAAAGTCTCCTTTTTAATCTCTGGATTTATTTGGAAGTTGTGTATCCATTAAATATATAGATTTATATGTAGCAGTGTGGGAGGGGTGTGTTTGGATAGATAGATAGATGTATCTCTCTATATATACACACCAATGATAATCATAATCATGGCATTTTTACAGGTTAATTTATCAAAATAAGTTTCTGTAAATTCTCAAATAATTGATGATGATTAGCTCTTATTTATTATTTAATATGTACCAAAAATTTAAACTATTTTTATCATTTTTCCCCACTAAACAATAACTGGGGGTACATTTTATTTTTCCATTTAATAACTAACAAAAATATTTAACTAGTCACATTAACCACATTTTTTTTTCCCTATGTTGCAATGCTATTAAGTGGTAGAGGCAGAATTTTGCTTCTCACAATCTGAAGTTAAAAGCAGCATTTCTTTAATTACAGAGTGTGAGAGATTAGTTGAAGGGTAAAAAGTTTCATTCAGTTAGATAGGAGAAATAAGTACTGGAGATACATTGTACAGTATAGTGATCATAATTGGTAATGTATAATATACTTAAAATTGCTCAGAGTAGATTTGAAATGTTCTCATTAAAAAATGATAAATATGTGAGGTCATGAATATGATTATTAGTTTGATTTAATCATCCCACTATGTTTATGTTCCTATGTTTGTATGCATATAAATCAAAACATCACATTGTATACCAAAGATACGTAATCTGTAATTTATCAATTAAAAATAATTATTTTTTAAAAAATATAATTCCCAATTACTATGCTACATTCGTGAAATTAGAAATAGTGGTCCATCTACTGCCTCTAGAATTAGCTTACCCTGTGAAGGACAATGTCTAGGTTTTAGTGTCCTTTTAACGAAAATGACACTTAATTGGTGAATTATATACCCTTCTCTCAACAACACCTTAAAAATCCTCTAATATTACATGTAGAAATTGGTAACCTCACAGACAAAAAGAAAAAATTAGTATAGCCATGGAGAATTAGACTAGAGAAAGTGTGTTTATCTTACATTAAAGGTAAGTACTAAAACTTAGACTACTATTAATCTTTATATCTAGGTGTGCATTTCCAGTCAATTTTATATTGGATTTTATAACCATTTTGATTTTGTGTATCAGTTAACTAATTAGTATAAACATTACATAAACTGTATGATCGATTAGGAAATTGTAGTGTCTAGATATAATGTCATTCACAAAAGATAAACTGATGGCTGGCTATTATGATTCTTACTTTACCAAGTAACAAATTTAGCATTATGAAATCTGTAGTTAGTTTACTTCTGCAATGAACATAACATTAAAATTGTTGTAATAATATGTTTCTCCAATTTTTTATATAATGCATAAAGGACAAAAGATCAAGCCACTTCTATATCTTGCCTGTTAATCAGAAAATATCTTGGATTTATAGCTATGTACTAATCACAAAGTCTTTCTTAGAAAAGTATTAAAAGTGATTTTATACTATATAATATTATTTATTAAATCCTATGTGATGTTCTCCTCACAACTAGTGTCTTCATAGTTTAATTTTTTTCTCTATTTTTTTAAAAGTCAGAATTGTCAAGGGTTATGTCATATTAGTATCAAGATAGTTGACCATAATTTTAGATATTAGGCTGAGACATATCAGGACAGCTAACATTTCAATGTAAGTCAATGAAATATATAGATGGTTATATAATTAGGAATTAAGGAAAGAAGCATGAGAAAGGCTGCATAAAGGAAACTTCTCTCGGATAATCCTTATAAGCATGGAAAATATACTTTTTCACAAAACTTAAGACACAATGCAAAATGATGCTATTCCATTTTTAAATGAATGTTCACTTTTATAAAGTCTTACATAAGTAATTGTAGATAATGGCTCAGGCAACATTTTAGTACCATTGCCTGCATGTTTTGAAATTTTGATGTCCTTCTTTATGAGGGATGGATGTGGCAATGCTACCAAGACTTTTTAATACAATGTACTAAAATTTTTAATATATAGGATATAATACTTGGAACTATGAACTTATGAGTAACATTAAAAGGGAAAACTGTTAAAAAAATGAATAATTTGATTACAAGTTATTTTTTAAGAAACAGAATCATCAATAAAATTTTGAAATAGAAAATGGACCCAAACAGCACAGTTAGTTTAGAGATTTAAAGAACATCTTTCAGATATTATTAGCTGTCTCTTGAAAGATATCTGCTTGCAACGCAACCAAAGTCTTACAAATGTGTACAGTTTAACATACCTACTTGGGGGAGAAACATATCTCAATATTTTCAGATAGAAAAAAATCTATTTTGTTATCATGAAACTTCAGAACATATTTCAGAAGAACCCAACATAATACATGCCAATTTTAACATTTCTTTAATTAAGAAAATATTTTATAAATAAACATTTCTAGTGTTTAACTTCAAATGCTATTTTTATAATCCTCAACAGAAAGGATATTAGAACACAGTTTTAAATATATCACTACTACAAATGTTCTGTCACTGAAAAATACTTGTAACAGAACATTTATTTAGGAACATTTTGCAGAGTAATTTTTATTTATTTTACTATGTTTTTGAGACGGAGTCTCACTCTGTCACCCAGGCTGGAGTGCAGTGGCGCCATCTCAGCTCACCACAACCTTTGCCTGATGGGTTCAAGCGATTCTCATGCCTCAGCCTCCCAAGTAGCTGGGACTACAGGCGTGTGCCACCATGCCTGGCTAATTTTCGTATTTTTTTTGGTAGAGACGGGGTTTCATCATGTTGGCCAGGATGGTCTTGAACTCCTGACCTCAAGTGCTCTGCCAGTCTCAGCCTGCCAAAGGCTTTTGCAAAGTAATCTATATGTCTCCCCTTTTCTTTTTATTATTACCTTTTTTTTATTTTGCTTTGGTTTACTTATTAGCCAGAATATTTTGTTTGATAATTAACATTACATTCTTTTGAGAAAATCAAATAAGAGCAAACAATACAAATCTACTCTCAGAAACAGTGACATCCTCTACTATGTGGTCTGTGTAAAATAATTTATATTTCACTACATTTCTTTTGTATGCTGAAAAATCACCTTTTAATAATGAATAGGACAGAGCCATATCATCTCTCTCAATTGAGAAATTTAATGTACTTGTTAGGTGACATGCAGATAAAGCTAAAATGCAAACCCTATACTTACTTCTTTAATATTTATATGTTTATTTTGAACCAAGAAAATATTTCCATATCATTACACATCGGAATTATTGAAAGAGGCACTTTTTATAGAAATTAACTTTTAAAATTAAATCCTCTTTCCTACTCCAAATTGTTCCACTTAATGCCAGAAATATCTTACATAAAATATCCACTGGTCTACTCACATGACAGCAACTTTTATTGCAAAAGGATATGCCAGAGTTTGATTCATTATTATGTCACAGTTATGACTCATCTCTTAGGGTAACACAATTGTCATGTTAGCTGTGTGGTTTTCAATTTACTCTTGACTTAAGCAGGAAATAAAAGAATGTCCAGCTGAGAGATTGCCAGGGGTGTTGAAATGAGTCATATGCATTAGCAGGCATTATTTACTCATAAATCCCATATTTATTGGGAGCATTTTGCAATTCCAGAAGGTGATCATAAAGTTATCTTGGCTATGTGTTGGATCAGTAGCAAACAGGAATTGCTATTATGAAATCATTACACTGAAGTGTGTCTGATGCCTGAAATAGATCCTCATATTCAAAAGAATATCAACGACTAAGGCACTTACCAAACTACTTGATACAAATATGGAAAATGGCTAACTACTCTGTCAAAAATTTATATTGATTTTATAGGTACATTTCACATGAATACTTGATTCTTTTAGCTGCTTCAGAATAGCTTGAGCTAATTCTACATCAATCTCATATCATCAGTGTAGCATCCTGTGTTATTCCAGTGACACTTGGTAAGAACCAGTGTATCTCCTCTAGAGCCATCTGCTATTAATTTTGAAGCTAAGCCTCCCAGAATTTCACTCATCTGGAACCTAGGGGCAACACACACACACACACACACACACACACACACACACACACACAGACAAACACACACTCTTTTCCAAATATTGGAGTGTTAAAGTATTAAACTAGTCATCTATAAAGTAGAGTGTTTCCTGTGCAGCAAGTAGAAGTGTAATTAATTATACATGTACTGTATTTTGAAGTCCATTTGGAAGTACATGAGTTGACTGATTTGTCAAGGGTCTTAAACACAATCATTAATCTAATCATTTATCTCCTGGAAATCTGTTTGAGTGAGACATTATTAAAAATGTTTGGTATAAGAAAATGTATTGCAGTGCTACTAATAGAAAACATAAATCCAAAATATAGTAATGGTAACAATAATAACAAATTATTAATATTTATTGAGCTCTATATGACTGACCCACGTCTATGCCTTGCTCTGTATTATTTAATCTTGTCAACAACCTAATAAGTTAGGTTCAAGTATTATATGCATTTTGAAAATGAAGAAACTGCATGTTTGCTTGAGCACAAACAATCTGACTTTTTAAATATTCATGAATTAGAGAATACTAATGCTATTTAAACTATACGGCAAAAGTTGTTACTAATAATCTTTATTATAAAACAACTGAGTGTCTATATATATGCATATTTTGCATGAATCTTACTTTATAGCTAAAATGTAATCAACCATTTTCTGTCCCCAATTCCATTAAACAATATGCGAGATGAATATATTCTCATTCTTGAGATTTTCCACCATCTCTAGGCAGGGCTGAATCTTTGGATGGGTGACTAGTACAGTTCCACAGCGCCCAACTCTTAGAAGGGCCAGCACTTAAGAGTTTAATGATCTTCATTGCAAGCTTTTAATTCTTTTTTTTTTTTTTCTGAAACAGAGTCTTGCTCTGTTTCCACGCGGGAGTGCAATGGCATGATCTCGGTTTATTTTAACCTCTGCCTCCCAGCTTCAAGTGATTCCCCTGCCTCAGCCTCCCAAGTAGCTGAGACTACAGGCACACACCACCACACCCGGCTAATTTTTTGTATTTTAGTAGAGACAGAGTTTCACCATGTTGGCCAGGATGGCCTCAATCTCCTGACCTCGTGATCTGCCCGCCTTGGCCTCCCAAAGTGCTGGGATTACAGGCGTGAGCCACCAAGCCTGGCCTAATTCTTAATGATATCTCTGAATTTGTATTTTTAAGTAAATTCTGATGGGATAATGCGTCATGTGTCCAGGACTTGAAGCTGCTATTCCCTCATGATCCTGACACCTGGAATTTGCACCTCACAGGACCCCAGCCTTGCTGCTCTGCCCATTGACCTCTGCCACCCTCCATACCGGGTGTGAGTTACCACCAGAAGAAGTCTGTGGCAGCAGCAGTCTTTGCCTTATTCTGACAGTGCCAAAGTGTGTTTGGTGGGTGACTCAGCTGAGTTGAGCCTCTTGCCAACTCCCAACACAGGTGCAGAGTGCATCTGAGCATGGAGGTTCTTGACTCTTATGACATGAAAAGTGCAATGTGAACATAAAATTGTGAATGATGTGACTATTCCAAAAACACAAACAGACACTGGCAAGGATCTGTTTTGCCAACAAAGCTACACAACTGCAGCAGAAAAGCTCCATGGAGGAAAAACTACAGTGCAAATAAAGGTTTCCAGCCGTCAATGATGCTAGCAAAGTGGAGGAAGGGTCACAGTAGGTCCCTCAGAAAGCTTCCCCAGCCACTTTCATGAAATTAACACCCTTGACCATTTTCTCTTCCAAAAAGTAAGGATTTTCTCTTTAATGTCTCATGCCTCTTCCAGCTTTATTACTCTGTGATTATGTGTTCATTTTTAAGGCATAATAAATGTGAAAAAAATGAGATTGATTTGAGTTTACTTTTTCTAAAAGTTCATTCTAGATGCAATAAATGAAGTTAGACAGTAAAACTCAGTAAAAATGCTTTATAATATATGTATATATGCTCTTTAAGAAAAATTGCTTAACATTTTTACCTCTTAATTTGCTTTCGTGATTCCATGCATTTTGTTGTACTTATCATGGCAAAATTTATTTGTGAAGTATATATCAGAAAGCCTTGCTCTATGATCAACAAACTTTGGTTAACTTTTAACTTTCAACATAACATTAGATATTCACCTCTCCATTTGTTCAGAGTTAAATTGTCATTACTCATTTGCTTTTTTATCTAAATTAAGATTTTCTTTAAGTCAACACAATAAACGCCATATATGCCAAGCCCACAGCTAACATCATATTCAACCATGAAAAGCTGAAACATTATCCTCTAAGATCAGGAAGAAGACAAATATGCCCACTTTCCCTTTTTCTGTCAACACTGAAAGGGAAGTCTAACCCCGAGAAATTAGGTAAGAGAAAAAAACTACAGGCATCTAAACTGGAATAGTAGTTAAACTGTCCTTGCTTGCAGACACATGATCTTACATATAGAAAACTCTAGGCCGGGCGCAGTGGCTCACGCCTGTAATCCCTGCACTTTGGGAGGCCAAGGTGGGCAGATCATGAGGTCAGGAGATCGAGACCATCCTGGCTAACACGGTGAAACCCTGTCTCTACTAAAAATACAAAAAATTAGCTAGGCGTGGTGGCGGGCACCTGTAGTCCCAGCTACTTGGGAGGCTGAGGCAGGAGAATGGCATGAACCTGGGAGGCGGAGCTTGCAGTGAGCCAAGATTGCACCACTGCACTCCAGCCTGGGCAACAGAGAGAGACTCCATCTCAAAAAAAAAAAAAAAAAAAAAAAAAGAAAACTCTAAAGACTCCACCAAAAAAACTGTTAGAACTAATAAGCAAATACAGTAAAGTTGCAGAATAAAAAATAAACAAAAATCACCTGTGTTTCTATGCACTACAAAGAATCTGAAAAGGAAATAATTAAACAATCTCATTTATAACCACATCAAGAAAAATAAAGTACTTAAGGAAAAAAATTCAACAAAGATGGTAAAAAAAAAAAAAAAAAAAAAAAACTTGCACACTGAAAACTACCCAAAACAATCTATGTATTCAATCCATAGCTATCAAAGTTCCAATGACAGTTTTTTACAGAACTAGAAAAAACAATCCTAAAATTTGTATGAAGCCACAAAAAACTCTGACTAGCCAAAGCAATGTTGAGCAAAAAGAACAAAGGTGATTGCACCACATTGCTTAATTTCAAATCTAAAACAAAGCCATAGTAATCAGATCAGTATGGTACTGGTACAAAAATCAGACACATAGACCAATGGAACAGAATAGAGAACCCAGAAATAATTTTATGAATTTACAGTTAATTGATTTCTGACAAAGATTCTAGGAACACACAATGGAGAAAGGATTGTCTTTTCAATAAATGGTGCTGAGAAATACTGAGTGATGTAAAATGTTCACACCACAAAAATAATAACTGTGAGGTAATGCATATTTTAATCAGCTAGATTTAAATATTCCACAATGTATATACACAGAAAAACATCATGTACTTGATAAATATATACAATTATATTTGTTAATTTAAAATAAATAAATTAGAGGAAAATAAATGATGCTAGGAAAACTGGATATCCACATGCAGAAGAATAAAATTAGACTCTTATAACACAGAAAAACAATCAAATCAAAATATATTAAAGACTTAAATTTCAGACCTGAAACTGTAAAATTACTAGAAGCAAATAGAACGAAAAAAAGCTCCATGACATTGACTTAAGTAATAAATTTTTTGGAGCTGAGTCTATAGGTACCAGCAACAAAAGCAAAGTAGACAAATGGGATTCGCAAACTGAAAAGCTCTGCACAGAAAAGGAAACAGTCAACAGAATGAAGAGACAACCTACAAATGGGAGAAAATATTTATAAACCATACATTTAATAAGGTTAATATTCTATATGTAGGGAATTCAGACAACTCAATAGGAATAAAACAAATAACTTGATTTTTATAAATGGCCAACAGGTTTATTAAAAAATGTTCAACATTACTAATCATTGGGGAAATTCAAATTACAATCACAATTCAATTATAATCACAATGAGGTAACACCTCACACCTGTGATTGAAATTCAATTACAATCACGATGAGGTAACACCTCACACCTCTTAGAATGGCTATTATCAAAAAGACAAAAAATAACAAGTGTTAAGAGAGGATGTGAAGAAAAGGGAACTCTTTTTTTTTTTTTTTTTTTGAGACAGAGTTTCGCTCTGTCGCCCAGGCTGGAGTGCAGTGGCACGATCTCGGCTCACTGCAAGCTCCCCCTCCCGGGTTCACGCCATTCTCCTGCCTCAGCCTCCCGAGTAGCTGGGACTATAGGCGCCCGCCACCACGCCCGACTAAATTTTTTTGTATTTTTAGTAGAGACGGGGTTTCACCGTGTTAGCCAGGATGGTCTCTATCTCCTGACCTCATGATCTGCCCGCCTCGGCCTCCCAAAGTACTGGGATTACAGGCGTGAGACACCGCGCCAGGCTGAAAAGGGAACTCTTTTACAACCATAGTGAAAAACACTATAGAGGTTCTTCAAAAACCTAAAAGTAAAACTATCATATGATCCAAATATATATATGTATACCCAAAAGAAAGGAAATAAGTATATCAAAGGGAAATCTGTGCTCCCTTGTTTATTGCAACATTATTCACAATAGCCAAGTTATAGAATTTACTTAGTTGTCCAGCAGTGGATGAACAAAAGAAAACGTGGTATATATACGCAATGGAATATTCTTTAGCCATAAAAATAATGAAGTCCTGTCATTTGCAATAACAAATTGCATCATTAAACATTATGTTAGTTGAAATAATCCAGGCACAGAAAGAAAAATACCACATGATCTCACTCATATGTAGAATCCCAAAATGTCAAACACATAAAAGTAGAAAGTAGAATAGCATTTACCAGGGACTGGGTTTACGCACTAGTTGGGGGGATGTAGTACCAAGGATTCAAATTTTGAGTTAGACAGAAGGAAACATTCAAGCAACGTATTTTATAATATGGCGACTATAGTTAATAACAATGTATTTTATGCTTGAAAATTGCTGAGAGTAGATTTTAAGTGCTTTGCCCCAAAAAGCTATGTGAGGTAATGCATGTGTTAAATAACTTGATTCAGTCATTCCACAATACACAAATATTTCAAAACATCACATCATACACAATAAATATATACAATTTTTGTCAATTTAAAAAGATATGATTTTTAAAAAGATTTGTTCTATTATTTCCCTTTGTTTCTGCTTACATTAATAACCCCTATATTTTATTATATGAATATGTTTTATTTACACACACACAAACACACATGCACACACAGAATCTTTAACTGAAATGAAGAAGACTTGGCCAGGAGAGAGTTTAGGTTTGGGGAGTTGTTACATATACAAGTGGAAAAGAACAAGCTGTTAGATTTGTAAATGTCTGGAACTTAGAGGAGGAAATGGAGTTGGAGAGAGAAATGGGAGTCATAAGAAAATATTTCATAAGTCTCAAAGACTGGATCATTTTATCTGAGGAGACGGTAAAGATGGAGTAGTGGAGAGGGCTTAGGGCTCAGCCCTGTGGCACCCTAACAGCATGACAGAGTGAAAAGGTTCATCAAAGGAGACTAAAAAGTATTCTGTGTGACCATGGGGGAAAGCCAGAAAATAACCACAAATGCAAAAACATCTCCCCCGACCCTCCACCAAAATAATAACAACAACAACAAAACCACCTAAATGAGTGGGACTCAATGAAAGCTAAAGGAAACATGTTTCAAGAAAAATGGGTTGATTATGTCCAATGCCACTATGAAGTCAAGGATAAATACTGATTACAGGTTCTGGCAAAATTTTAAAATATTTAAGAGCTGGTTAAGAGATATTTTAGTGTTTATGACGTCAAAGTTGGATTTGTTGTGATAGAGAATATGTGGAAATGGAAATCGTACATATTCATAGCTGTTATTCTAAGTTTTGTTGTAAAAAGTCGAGCCAAATGAGGAGATAGCCAGACATCTATGTGCATTCAATGTACTTTTGTGTATTTTATTTTGCTATTTAAATGGGGGATATTCAGGATGTGTATATGACTATGGACAAAAAAATAGATAATGACTGCAAAACTGAGGTCCATGAAAGGAAAGAAGGGATGAATCCAGAGGTTGGTGGAATGTCTGGATTTAAATCGAGGAGGGCTACTTCTCTGAGTAATAGAAGATGTGTTTGATTATATGAGTTTGGAGGCACATAGGCTGGGTCTACATGCTTTGTCTGTGAACTGTGGTGTGAGGTAATAACTGGGCATGAGGCATGAAACATTCTTCTGGGAAATAGGAAAAGTTACATATGAGGAAACTGTCAGATAATTGTCTAGGTTTATGAAGTTAAAATTTCAAAATGTGATTCATCCTAAATTTGAAATCCATCCAATCGTCATCAGGTATTTGGCAATAATCAGCTATTTGGGGTGTAATTCCGGAAAATTGATCTGTAAGTTTACTCCTCTGAGTTTCTTACAGAGGAGTACAAGAGAAGGATGACTCAACAGAAGAACTCAACAGTGAATCAAGTCAGTGTTGAGAGATCTGCTCTGTGCAACCTATGCCAGGTAATAAGATGAAAATCTGAGGGGTGTCATGTCTCTACCTCATGTTCCTTCATTTGACTACAACTTATAACTACAGGGGCAGTAAACCGTTCACATGTGTGCTGATAGTTTCCTTCCTCAAGTGCCACTGGTTCTCAGCTTATCTGCCTTATCTGCCTTAAGGCTTTCTCTCTCTCTCTTTTTTTTTTTTTTTTTGAGACGGAGTCTCACACCTGTTGCCCAGGGCTGGAGTGCAATGGCATGATCTCAGCTCACTGCAATCTTTGCCTCCCTGGTTCAAACGGGAGGCCTCAGCCTCCCAAGTAGCTGGGATTACAAGTGCCCACCACCACAGCCGGCTAATTTCTTTTGTATTTTTAGTTGAGACAAGGTTTCACTACTTTGGCCAGAATGGTCTCCAACTCCTGACCTCATGATCTGCTTGCCTCAGCCTCCCAAAGTGCTGAGATTACAGGCATGAGCCACTGCTCATGGTCAAGGCTTTTTCTAACACTTAAATATTTTTCTCAGCTTATATTCACAATATTTATCACCTGACAACAAGAATTGAGCCCCCATACAAATCTCAACCAATGAAATTGTGGAGTCATTGAGTAAATTCACCAACTTCTACACTCTTCTATGGAAAATTCTAAAGTGTGTCTTGCATAGTTCCACAGTGGATCTTCAGGAAGCTTGTGCTGCATTTGTCTATTGTAATACATGGATTATTATTGCACACTGTGTTTGCTTCTTCTCTTCTTTAATTCACTTTTCCCACATCCTGAGTTTTTCTTCTTGAAATCACCTCAGAAATAAACCACACACACCCAAGCACTTAGATTGCAGTGTCTCCTTTAGTGGAATGCCAACCAGGACAGAGAGGGGTCATGGAAAGTGAAGTGTTGAGGACCCTGGATTAAAATAATTGTAGAGGTAAATACTTTATTCAGTTATTATACTAAAGTGTGTAACTTGGAAAGATGGGAAGTGATTCTTGGATGATGATAGATAGAAATGAGATTTAAGAGGTAGTGAAACTAAGTTTTTACCTCCAAGGAAGGCTTGGAGTATAAGTAAAATGAGTAATTTGCTGATGTGTGGCTAGCAAAAAATGGTGATAAGTATTGATCAGATTATCTATGTGGATACCGACACTGCTAAAAACATAATGGGGTGCCAGGCATGGTGGCTCACACCTGTAATCCCAGCACTTTGGAAGGCCAAGGTGGGTGGATCATTTGAGGTCAGGAGTTCGAAACCAGCCTGACTGACATGGTGAAACCCCGTCTCTACTAAAAACACAAAAAAATTAGCTGGGTGTGGTGACACAAGCCTGTAGTCCCACCTACTTGGGAAGCTGAGGCAGGAGAATCACTTGAACCTGGGAGGCAGAGGTTGCAGTAAACCGAGATCGCACCACTGCACTCCAGCCTGGGTGACAGAGCAAGACTCCATCTCAAATAATAATAATAATAATAATAATAATGGGTTTGATGGTTATGATGAAGAGCTAAAATCATAAGTAGAAGATTGGGAATAACAGGAAAGTTTGTAGGGAACTTAGGCGGATAATATTTACTTCATAGAGATAGGACATATGAAGGGGAAGGAAAGAAAAACAGAAAACCACAAGGGGGACCAAAGAGGACATCCAAACAATGTAGTCTTCTAAATTCTTTCAGTGCAGGTTTTACAAAAAATGCTTCCACTGTGAATGCTGCAAGAGAACATGGCTAGAAATGAAGGCCTAGTATAGCTGGTCTAGGGCTCCTGCCAAGAACTTGGGGGGCAGCTTAATGTGAGATGACAGATGAAGACTCTAATGCTACTTGGCTTATCAATAGGAATTAGCAACAACTCTTTGCAACACTATAGGAATTGCAAGCAGCAAAGTGTTCACGGCAAGAAGATGACTCCAGGTTCCTTTTGCAAAAGGAATTTTAAGAGGTCTGGAACAGTAATCTTTACTGTCCTACTAATGTGTTGTGACCCTGGGTTAGGTTCTTAACCTTTATCTGCTTTAGTTTCTTCAACTTATAAAATGCAGATGAGACAATGTTGTGTGGGTTAATTAGTGTTCCTAAAATATTGAACATTATTAAATGTAGTTAGAAGCACTAATTACTCACATTGACAAAAAGGCAAGGTTTGGGGCAGAGGCAACTGCGTTTGTGATAAGAGTATCTAGTGCCCTTTAACCTCTTAATTTCATATGTGTCTTGACTTTCCTAACAAGACGTTTTCTGCTTTGATGCCAATAAATTGAACAAATCTTACTAGCACATGAACATTGATATCAGCCAAGTGAATATTTTGTTAATATTCCCTATATAACCAGTGTAATTAATACTGTGATAATAGACAAAGTGATGTAGCAAATAGTGCTTGTGATCCCAGGTCAAAAGAAATAATTGTAGTGCTCCATAATTGCATGTGTGTGACCGATCTTGTGCTAATTTGAATCTCAGAGCATTTACACGGATTCAAATTTATAATGACTAATATATACATGATCATCTCTTATTCAAAATAGTTGTAAGGCTTCAGTGAAATGGTATTATCTTAAAATATTTTTGAACTGCAAATGAATAAATAACTATCATTACTATTTACTTGCTCTATTTCTTCCAATCAATTTTAAGAAGAAGATTTCTGTGCTTGTCCTTCCTTCCTGCACCTGATTGAAAGAAGAGCTACTTTGTCAATTTATTCAGTCATTCATCCATCCGTTTATTCAATGATCAAGTATTATACATCTTAAAATGTTAGAATTGAGCCTGGGGTAAAGAAAAATATAACAGTCCTTTTACCTAAGGGATTCACATGCATTTAAAAATAATTATAATGCATGATGCTGTCATGTTAGTATTATATATACCACATTGACATGTTACAAAGTTGTACAATCTCAGCAGCTTATAAATATATGCATATATTATCTCATAGTTTCTTTTTTTTTTTTTTTTTTTTTTTTTTGAGACGGAGTCTCACTCTGTCGCCAGGCTGGAGTGCAGTGGTGCCATCTCAGCTCATTGCAACCTCTGCCTCCTAGGTTCAAGCGATTCTACTGCCTCAGCCTCCTGAGTAGCTGGGATTACAGGGGCGTGCCACCATGCCTGACTAATTTTTGTATTTTTGGTAGAGACAGGTTTTGCCATGTTGGCCAGCCTGGTCTTGAACTCCTGACCTCAGGTGATCCACCCAGCTCAGCCTCCCAAAGTGCTGGGATTACAGGCATGAGCCACTGTGCCCTGCCTCATAGTTTCTGTAGGTCAGAAATCTGGATATAATTTAGCTGGATATTCCACTGGGAATCATATAAACCTGCAACTGAGGGTCCACCCAGAGTTCATTCTCAGCTAGAGGTTCAACTGGGGATCAATCTACATCTAAACTTCAGGTCATTGGTAGAATCTATTTCCTGGTGGCTGTGCAATTACTGAAGGCTCTAGCATTTTGTTGGCTGATGGCTAGGGACTGCTCACAGTTCTTAGAAGTTACTTATAATTTCTTGCCATTTGGGCTTCTTTAACATGACCACTTTCTTCATTAAGACAGCATAAAGATTTGTCACCTTAAAGAGGGTCCAATTCCTCTCTTAGGAGCTTAAACCTGATTATATTAGACCTACCTAGGATAATCCCCTTTATGATTCACAGCATAAACTGATTTGTAAAACTTAATTACATCTGCAAAATCCTTTCTCTTTGTCATATTCTATTGACAAGAAGCAAGTCACAGGTCCTGCTCACACTCAGATGGAGAATATTCTAGATGATACGAACACCCTGGGAGCCACTTCTAGGATCTGGCCACAACAACTTGGAAGAGTCTGTGTTTTTTTTTTTTTAAATGAAGCTTTAATTAACACTAACAATAAAAATAAGAACTAACGTTAGGAGGCCTTACATTCTCAAGGTTATAGACAAAAGTAAACAAATACAGGTTGAATTTCCCTTATCCAAAATGGTTCAGACCAAGTGTGTTTCAGATTCTAAATTTCTTTAGGCTTTTGAAATGTTAGTATATACATAGTGAGATATCTTGGAGATGGGACCCATGTCTAAAGAGGAAACTCACTTATGTTTCGTATCACCTAAAACACATAGCCTGGACATAATTTATACAATGTCTTAAATAATTTTGTGCATGAAACAAAATATTGACTGTCTTTTGACAGACCCATCACATGAGGTCAGGTGTGAAATTTTTCACTTGCGACATCATGTCACCGCTCAGAAAGTTTTGAAATTCGGAGCGTTTTAAATTTCAGGTTAGAGATGCTCAACTCGTCATTCAATTTAATTAGTTATATAGAATCTATAATCACAATATTATGTAGTAATAATTAAAAAAAAATAAGGAAGGGAATGGCAAATGCTATCAGTGAGTAGGAGGATCCGTCATTTTATATAGGGTGATCAGTGGTAAACTCTCTGACACAAATATTGTATTAGTCCATTTTCACACTGCTATAAAGAACTGCCTGAGACTAGGTAATTTATAAAGGAAAGAGGTTTAATTGACTCACAGCTCAGCATGGCTGCAGAGGCCTCAGGAAACTTACAATCATTGGGGAAGGAAAAGGGGAAGCAAGGCACCTTCTTCACAAGGCGGCAGGAAGGAGAATGAATGCAGGAAGAACTACCAAACACTTACAAAACCGTCAGACCTCATGAGAACTCAGTCCCTATCATGAGAACAGCATGGGGGAAACCGCCCCCATGATCCAATTATCTCCACCTGGTCTCTCCCTTGACACGTGGGGATCATGGGGATTAGGGGGATGATAATTCAAGATGAGATTTGTGCAGGGCCAGTAGGCCTAATCATATCAGATATGTTTAGGCAGATGCCTGAAGGAAGCCATGCAAATATCTGGTGGGAGAATATTCCAGGTTGGGAGGTATATTTGATGACATATTGAACTAAGACTTTGAATTTTACTCCAAGAGAAATAGGAAAACACTGGGAGGGGCCGTTAGAAAGGATGGTTCAGACGTTGTATATAGAACATGACATTGGTAAGAGATAAGTGTAATGCCCAACCTTGTTTTTACTAACCCTGTTTTTAGACTCTCCCTTTTCCTTTAATCACCTAGCCTTGTTTCCACCTGAATTGACTCTCCCTTAGCTAAGACAGCCAGACAGACTCCATCTTGGCTCTGTCACTGGCAGCCCCTTCCTCAAGGACTTAATTTGTGCAAGCTGACTCCCAGCACATCCAAGAATGCAATTAACTGATAAAGATACTGTGGCAAGCTACATCTGCAATTCCCAGGAATTCGTCTGATTGATAACGCCCAAAGCCCCGAGTCTATCACCTTGTAATAGTCTTAAAGCCCCTGCACCTGGAACTGTTTACTTTCCTGTAACCATTTATCCTTTTAACTTTTTGCCTACTTTATTTCTGTAAAATTGTTTTAACTAGGCCCCCCTCCCCTTTCTAAACCAAAGTATAAAAGAAAATCTAGCCCCTTCTTCGGGGCCAAGAGAATTTTGAGCGTTAGCCGTCTCTTGGCCGCCGGCTAAATAAATGGACTCTTAATTTGTCTCAAAGTGTGGTGTTTTCTCTAACTCGCTCAGGTACAACATTAGGAAGTAGGACTCAGTTAATATGTTACTGCAGAGACCCAATTGAAAGGTAAGGTTGACTTGGTGTTTGAATACTTGTTAATGAGTGAGTGGTTAAATATTAGGTACATTTTCAAGATAAAACTGGGACAATTTGTGGATAGATTGGATGTGGATAGGGATGCCAAAGATTTTGCAAGCACAAGAAAGGTGTTGTCATATGCTTAGATGGAAAAACCTTTGTAGAAACTTGCATGAAGCATTCATTTCTAAGTATTGATCCCTGTATCATCCCATTATTTAGAGAATAGGAAGATTAGGAAAACTATCAAGAAATACAAAATAGAGATGAATCGTACAAATAAGGGAGATAATATAATGTGGAGTCCCAGAAGTCAGTGATAAAATATGTATAAATTTGAAGTAATATTATTTAACTTTCTTCCTCAGCCACCTGCAGACACTAGAAAAGTTAGAAGTGTTAGATCAATCATGGTTGCAGTTATGTAGGCATATAGTATAAAGAACGAGGCCGGGCATGGTGGCTCACACCTGTAATCCCAGCACTTTGGGAGGCCGAGGCAGGCGGATCACGAGGTTGGGAGTTCGAGACCAGCCTGGCCAATATGGTGAAACCCTATCTCTACTAAAAATACAAAAAGTAGCTGGGCATGATGACATGCACCTGTAGTCCCAGCTACTCAGGGGTTTGAGGCAGGAGAATCCCTTGAACCCGGGAGGCAGAGGTTGCGGTGAGCCGAGGTTGGGCCTCTGCACTCCAACCTGGGCGACAGAGCGAGACTCCATCTACACACACACAAAAAAAAAAAAAAAAAAAAGACGATAAGGGCAAAGGGTTTAAGGGTATATGTAAGATTCTTACGGATGACATTCTTATGGATGACAGATTCACAGTTTGGAAGAAAGGGAAAACAGAACACGGGGTTTGGAGGTGACAGACTCTTTGCTTGACCACACTAATTAGGCTCCTGATCCTTCTCCTAGGTCCATTTGTGCACTCTTCTGTAAAATCCAATGTTAGCAAGGACACTGCTAAGTCAGGTTAGCAAGAATCCCCTATCCTTGACATCTGAACCCCCTCAATATCTGATCCTCATTCTCAACTATTCCCCAAGTGATTTTTGATTACCTAGGTCTATCTTCGCTAGGATCCTGTTAGTTCAGTTTAGCTGTTATTCTCAGCCTAATTCATAGTGTGGTCTTGGGAGCGGTCCTTGTCTTTGGAATAGAGGCAACCAGAGGGAATAATTGCAGAAATATGGACTTCCTTCATTTCTTCTTTAGTTCTAAATGTAACTCAGATTCTCAAAATGAAACATCATATAATTTCCTTCTCAGATTTATCTTTATTAATTGGAATCAGTAAAGAATTAATAAAATCAAAAGGTACTGTAGTCACCAAGGGGGCAGTGATTTGTCTGACATTAGTGAATGGCTTGGCTTTTAATATAAAATATTTTTATGAAAGAAAATTTTGCTGATTTGTGTACAAGGTAACTAACTTTTCAGGCTAGTTCCAAAGTATTTATGTTTATTTAAAAAATATATTTCTGTTCAACCATTGTGGAAGACAGTGTGGCAATTCCTCAAGAATTTAGAACCAGAAATACCATTTGACCCAGCAATCCCATTACTGAGTATATACCCAAAGGATTATAAATCATTCTACTATAAAAATACATGCACACGTATGTTTATTGTTGCACTGTTCACAATAGCAAAGACTTGGAAGCAAGCCAAATGTCCATCAATGATAGACTGGATAAAGAAAATGTGGCACATATACACCATGGAATACTATGCAGCCATAAAAAGGGATGAGTTCATGTCCTTTTCAGGGACATGGATGAAGCTGGAAACCATCACTCTTAGCAAACTAACACAAGAACAGAAAACCAAAAACTGCATGTTCTCACTCATAAGTTGGAGTTGAACAATGAGAACACATGGACACAGAGAGGGGAACATCACACACCGGGGCCTGTCAGGGGGTGGGTGGCTAGGGGAGGGATAGTGTTAGGAGAATTACCTAATGTAGATGACAGGTTGATGGGTGCAGCAAACCACCATGGCATGTGTATACCTATGTAACAAATCTGCACATTCTGCACATGTACTCCAAAATTTAAAGTATAACTTTAAAAAAAGAAAAAAATATATATATACATGTATATGTTTCTGGCCAGGTGTGGTGGCTCCTGACTCTTATCACAGTACTTTGGGAGGCCAAGATGGGCAGAGAGTTCGAGACCAGCTTGGGCAACATGGCAAAGCCCTGTCTCTACAAAAATAAAAAATAAAACAGCCAGGCCTGATGTGCACCTGTGGTCCCAGCTACTCGGGAGGCTGAGGCAGGAGAATCATTTGAGCCTGGGAGGCAAAGGTTTTAGTGAGTTGAGTTTCATGCCACTGCACTCCAGCCTGTGTGACAGGGTGAGAGTCTGTCCCCAAAAAATAAAATAAGATTAAAATAAAAATATATTTCTAAGTAATTTGTTTGAATTTTATAAACCAAGGTCCAGTTATTATAGGTATTACAGAAGCAGTACTTGCTATTCAATAGCATGATGTTTTGCTATCTCTGCCCTCTCAATAACTTCTGGTTAGGGATACAAGGACATGGAATGTAGAAAATTCATAACTGCTTTGCTTTTAAAATCATTATAATGTAGCTGATAAGCCTTCAGTAGACTGGCTTATAAGCAATGAGAGCCAGGCAAATAGATTGAACTTATACTTTATAAAATACCCTAGTTCTACCCTTTTCACAATATCTGGCAAATCATTCATTTTGCCAGGTTTACAGAGAGCCATTTAGTAAAATGAAAGACATATCCTATGAACAAAGATTTAATAACTCTCTATTAAAGTCTAGAGCATTATGATACTAACTGCCACTTCCCCTCCCTCATTGTCTGTGTTCTAGTTAAATGAGCTGTTTATCTCTTCATAGATTTTTATCTCAATAAATTGCAAAGTCCTAGAAATGGAAAGTGTGACTTATCAAAAGCTTTTTCAAGGAGCAGGCATTTAGAATATGAGTGATGATTGAATTTCATAATAAATTTCTTTATTTTTTCCCTAATATTAAGTATTGTGTTTTGTTAGTTTTTTTTAGTCAGGAGGTTGTATGATGTATAAGAGTTGATAAATAACTTATCCCCTTGATTACAGGCGTACCTCAGAGATATTACAGATTTAGTTCTAGGCCATAGCAATAAATCAAATATTGCATTAAAGTGAGTCACACAAAATTTTTGGCTTCCCAGTGCATAAAAAATTATGTTTACACTATACTGTAGTTTATTAAGTGTGCAATAGCATTATGTCTACAAAGCTATGTATATACCTTACTTTAAAATGATTTGTTAAACCATGGGAGCTTCAGCGAGTCAGAATCTTTTTGCTGGTAGAATGTCTTGCTTCCATATTGATGACTGTTGACTGATCAGAGTGGTGGGTAATGAAGGTTGGAGTAGCTGTGGCAATGTCTTAACATAAGACAACAATGATGTTTGTCACATTGTTTTTCCCTTAATGAAAGATTTATCTGTAGCACTTGATTCTGTTTGATAGCATTTTACCTGTAGTCAAACTTCTTTTCAAATAGGATAATTTCCATTTTAGTGAGGATGGTTTCCTCACTAAACTTAATGATTTCTAGCTTTTAATTTAACGTGAAAGATGTATGGTCCTTCTTTTCACTTGAATATTTCAGGGCCATTGTAGAGTGATTGTTATAATTTTAATATTGTTATGTCTTAGGGAGTAGGGAAGACCAAGAAGAGGAATGGAGAAATGGGATGGCTGTTGGTGGAGCAGTCAGAACACACATAATGTCTATCAAATAAGTTTGCCATCTTATATGGTTTGTGTCCCCCCAATCAATGACAAGAGTAACATCGAAAATCTCTGATCACACATCAACATAACTGATATAATGTAGAAAAAAAGTTTGAAATATTGTGAGAATTACCAAAGTGTAATGCAGAGACACAGAAGTGAACCGTTGCTATTGGAAAAATGGTACTGATAGTCTTGCTTCATGCTGGGTTACCACAAACCCTCAATTTTTAAAGAAATGCAATTTTTGTAAAGCGCAGTAAAGGGAAACACAATAAAATGTGATATACTGATTTATGTTTATTCACATATTACTCTTTATCTGTGAATTAGTCAGGGTTCTGTAGAGGGACACAGCTAATATATCTAGAAGGACAGAACTATATATGTGTATATATATATGTGTGTGTGTATATATACACATATATAAATATATATATATGTGTATATATAATAGTAAGTATTAACTCATATGATCACAAAGTCCCACAATAGGCAGTCTGCAGGTTAAGGAGCAAGGAGAGCCAGTCCGAGTTCCAAAACTGAAGAATTTGAGTCCAATGTTTGAGGGCAGAAAGCATCCAGCATCGCAGAAAGATATAGGCTGGGAGGCTAGGCCAGTCTCTCTTTTCACATTTTTCTGCCCGTTTAAATTCTAGCCATGCTGGCAGCAGATTAGATGGTGCCCACCCAGATTAAGGGTGGGTCTACCTTTCCCAGCCACTGACTCAAATGTTAATATCCTGTGGCAACACCCTCACAGACACACCCAGGATCAATACTTTGCATCCTTCAATCCAATCAAGTTGACACTCAGTATTAATCATAACGATCTAATATCAGAATGAACTTAGCTAAATATACTCAGGTTGGCCTTTGGCACACATATATAGGAATGAAATAGAAAGAGTGTTGCTAGCAGTGAATTCTGAGAACTGGAGGGAATCTCAGAGGTACTTAAGGAAAGCAGGTATTATTAGCTAGTGGCGGAGCTGAGGGGGCTCTGCATTCCAGATGATATTTATGATATTTTCTTATGTTTTGTTTTCCTTCCCAAAAATGTGTGTCTCTGAGTTACAGCACCATGATTTGTCAAATATAAATTATGTTTCAAGTAATTATCCATAAATGTTAATTACTAATGCAACCTGTACATTTTTAAAAAAATTTTATATTTTTATAAAGGATTTCTCAAATTTTTTGTTAATTATAATGTACTTGTAATCTTGTAAAAAATTTAGCAATAGTTCGAATGATGACATTATTTTCTTTATAGTAAATATACCATGAGTTTTCAGGAGAAAGGACCATTCTAATGTATGCAATTTCCTTGAACTGTTGATGTAAGAATTCATGTGAAAATAGGGGCTTATTGCACTTAGCAGATAAAAAAGTGTATAATAGCTAAGATATTGAATAACAAGGTTTGAAATCATAGAGGTGCAGATTAGAATCATGACTGGATAGAATAAGACTGAGTGCTCAACTAGATATTTATAAAAAATATTTTAAAGGTTTTCAAGAAGACAGAAACTTATTAAACATGACATGCACAAGAATGCCATAACAAGAAACTGTGGTAAAGGGAATTTTATCTTTCAAATCCTCTTTAAGATGATAAACCAAGTCTGGAATGACCTGTGACCCACACCTAATTTTTGTATTTGTTCCTCAACCTATTAGGCCTAACTCCAAGAAACATGTTTTGGAAGAATAAAATGAAAAGAAATTTGCAATACCAGAGTTATGAATTAAGCCCTGCTAAATTATCCTCTTTAATTTTACTGTGTACCAGTGTGGTGTGTTTCAAAGTATTTTATATAATCTGCCCATCAAATAAAGTCACACTGAAATATAGTTATTTAGGTCAAAGGGGTGTTGTCAAAAGTGATTCATCACATAAGAGAAGTGAATGGGTTTTTCAAAACTTGCAATTTAAAGTAATAAAAACTCTTTGCATATTAGATATGATCAGTATGTAAACAAGATATTCTCCTATTCAAATATGCTTTTGGATGTTTCCTTAAGTAGATGTATCTATTTGGACTTGCTACATTTTCCATAATTTCTTGTCTAAATTAAAGCAATAGCCTTATAATTAGCTGAACTGATTTGATCCTTATCTGTCTTTCATAATTTTCCTAGATGATAGCCAGAAATCTTGTTTAGAAACCTAGGTGAAATCAAGCCGGGTGTGGTGGCTCACACCTGTAATCCCAGCACTTTGAGAGGCTGAGGTGGGTGGATAACTGAGGTCAGGAGTTTGAAACCAGCCTGGCCAACATACTGAAACTCAGTCTCTAATCAAAAAACAAAAATTAGCCAGGCCTGCTGGTGCACACCTGTAATCCCAGCTTCCCTGGAGGCTGAGGTGGGAGAATCTCTCGAACCCGAAAGGCGGGGGTTGCTGAAGTTGCAGTGAGCAGAGATCACGCCACTGCACTCCAGCCTGGGCAATAGAGCGAGACTCTGTCAAAAAACAGGGAGAGGAGGGCAGGGAAAGGGAGGGGGGCGAGGGGAGAAACCTACATGAAATCTTTTCATTCCTTTGCTAAAAACTTTTATGTAGCTCCCTATTTCAGTCTGAGTATAATTCTTTATAATGACTTAACCACCAACGTGATCATGCTGCCCTTAGTTGTCCACATCTTGACTTTTCCTCTGGTTTATTCATCTTCTTCCCTAACCACACTGGCCTCATCATAGCTCTCTCCAAATGTGCCGTTCAACATTATTGTCAAATATCACCAAAAAGAGGCCTGCTCTTATGGGCCTAAATAAATGGTAACCCACCCCCAGGCCCTACCAACAACTGCAAGCCCTTTCCTTGCTTTACTTTAGCTTTGGCTCCAGAAGGCTCATTGCTTTGAAATGTAACATATCCTGGGTGAGTTAGGTGCACTGTTATCTGTCTCCTTGTCACCTCTAGAATGTAAGCTCCATAAAGGAGGTGTTTTTGTTTGGTTCATTGATGTATCTTAGGAAAATGGAGTTGAACTTGACTCACTGTAGGCCTTCAATACATACAGTTTTAAGTCGAATTACATAAAAATAGAGAAAAAATGCATGGTTTTGTCTTAATATAAGTAGTGGTATTAAAGTGTTAATTGTCCTAGGAAGCAAATGAGCAAAAGTTATACGATCTATTTTTACATTTCCTTAAAAATGAGCAAGTTATATAGAATTGAAAATTCACCTGGGAGATGTTTTCTGTTGTTTGAATTCTGATGAAGCAGTGTCTTTCTTTCAGCTCACCAAATCAATCAAGCCAAGAAAACCTAAAAATCGATATCCAGACTTCTTACAAAGTACATATTAAATGATCTTTGAAATTAAGCATTAATGATCATGAACAATGGAGGAAGTTTCAAATGCTGTATATCAGAAAGACCTTTACAAGAAAAATGTCATTTGACTCATTTCAATAAGCATTATTATGTTCAACAAATCAAGGAGTGTTATAATTTAATTTTCATGATCAAGGTTTGCAATTTTCATCTAGTTTAATGTTCACTCGGCATTTTTAAATTAAATTCCTAGGTTATGAAGTTTTTCCTTTAAAATCTTCCTTGCATTTTGCAAATAAATGTTACATGTGGCAGCATTCCAATGAAATATATTGTGCATTTGCCCCATCAACAGGTTGACAGATTTGGGGCTGAAACAAAATGGGTTGTTCTCTTAGATTTTTAAACCATATTGAGTATCACACATGAAAAACTGCAAGGGGGGGAGGTGGTAGAGTTTCCCCCATCCTCCTCCTCTTGTGCTTTACATTTCATTGTAATGAGAAACTGAAATATAACTCTTAGCAAGAGCCAACTACAAAATCATTCCCTTCCCTTTTGAGTAATGATCTTCTCATAGTAAAAAATGAAATGATGAAAAGGTTAGAATATGTTTTAAATCATTCTTGAAAAGGTTATAATTGCGTCATTATTTGGGTCATTGTCAAATCAATGCTTTAGTTCTCCATATGTTAGCCATATTAGCCATCGGGAAAATATGAGAGAATATTTGTTTTAGCACTTAAGAATAACATGGTGTTGTGAATCTTTAATATAAATTACTTTCAAATTCATTTTATGCTTGAATATTTCTTTTTTTAATGTCAATCTACTATTTAAACTAATGCCTATGTAAAACAAAAATATTTTCTTTTGCATAAAATATGCCTCGCATGGCAAGTTAAACATTGTAATTAGGAATGTAAAGGGTATCAAAATCAATTGCATGCACTCAACGCAATCTACAGCACTCTATTTGAAGTATCAATCCACAAATACAAAAAAAGAAAGTTACCCCAATAATGTGATAGTGATATTTCATAATATTTTCTATTTCTGTACCAACAGGAATTCAGGAAATGCTGCTTGGATGTCAATGTTAAATGTTTCAGCCTTTAAATGAATCATTCATATTTCAAAACATATTCAATTCAAGCCAGGAAGTATTAGTACCATGGTAAATTGTCACCACTCCTTTGCAAGCATAAATAATACACCTGTGTCTCCCACCCCAGTCCAACTACATCCGATTCCATGGGTCTGCATCATTATCTCCAAAACCTTCCAGTTGCATTGCTGTCATGTTTGTGTTAAAGAGACTGATGAGGTAGGTTTACTGTCGAAACATGTTAGTAAAAAGAAAGTTAGTTTTTTGAAATGTAAAAAAAAAAATTCTAATAACTACATGAAAAAATGAAAATACCCATCACATGTCAATTAACACTTCTTTTTTTTTTTTTTTGAGATGGAGTCTCACTCTGTCGCCCAAGCTGGAGTGCAGTGGCACAATATCTGCTCACTGCAAGCTCCGCCTCCTGGTTTCCCACCATTCTCCTGCCTCAGCCTCCCAAGTAGCTGGGACTACAGGCGCCCACCACCATACCCAGCTAATTTTTGTATTTTTAGTAGAGGTGGGGTTTCACCATGTTAGCCAGGATGGTTTCGATCTCCTGACCTCGTGATCCGCCCACCTCATCCTCCCAAAGTGCTGGGATTACAGGCGTGAGCCACTGTGCCAGGCCAACACTTCCCATTTTTAACAGGACTGCCGTGGTACCAAAATGGTGATTTTTCTATTTAATCATTTTTCTGTGTGTTTGTTTTCTCAAGTAAGTATTGAGTTCTATATAATCAAAACCAAAGTATTGCCATCTCACAGTCCTACTTAATGATATTTTATAGATCTTTATTAACTTTAAGTCATTTTCAAATGATCAAAAGTGAATGATTTTTTAATCCTGGAGAGATACTTTAAAAACTGGTCAGGTCTCAGAAAATCTCTGCAGTAAAAGAAGAACATTCTATCTATAGCATACAATATGTAAAAATGATATATGCTTGAGGACATGATAATCTATTAACAATTTTCAATTATCTTTTAAGTAGATAATATTTTCCTCCAGATTTATTTATTTGGTCAATTTATAAATATGATTTTTCTATTTGGTTCTCTTTTCTCAGAAGGACATCGACTGCAAGGCAAGTCATTAGTGTGGAATAAAACAAAACAAAACTTCACCCTCCCACAGTGTTTTAGTTAAAAAAAAAAGTTCTGCTTGATACCTTGCTTTATCTGAGTAGTGTTCTATTCGGCCTAAATATCCTATAACTAATTTCTACATATATATATATGTATATATATATATACACACACACTATATATATATATAAACTATATATATACACTATATACACACACACTGTATATATATAAACTATATATATATAAACTATATATATATATATATATAGCGAGACTCTTGCCTCAAATATATATATATTTGAGGCAAGAGTCTCGCTCTGTCACCCAGGCTGAAGTGCAGTGGCATGATCTCGTCTCACTGCAACCTCCGCCTTCTGGATTCAAACTAGTCTTGTGCCTCAGTCTCCCCAGTAGCTGGGATCACAGGTACACAACATTATGCCTGGCAATTTTTTTTTTTTGGTAATTTTAATAAAAACAAGGTTTCACCATGTTGCCCAGGTTGGTCTCAAACTTCCGGTCTCAAGTGATCCACTGGCCTCGGCCCCCGTAAGTGTTGGGATTATAGGCATAAGCCACAGCCTCTGGCCTGTACTAAAAATATTCTAATGAAATATGTTTTCTAACATATGGTATGTGAAAGATCAGATTTTTATTGTTTTACATTTTTACTGTTGATTTCAGTAATTTTAAACTGAGTAAAGAAAGATAACTGTAGTTTTTAGAAAAATAAATATATAAAAACAAGTACCTGAAAGTGGAAGATTGTGGAAAAACAAAGCAGACACTGGAAGGAGTGTTACACTTGGAAACAGGGATGAAGATACGATGAAGAGTGATTTACTCATGTCATTGTTTTTATCATGAGATAGCCCAAATTTATATCTGACAGGAAGGCTAACATTTCAATAGAAAAACTCACAGTCTCATCGTTTTGAAAACACCAGAAGCCAGAATTTACGGCAATCACAGCCACTGGAATCTAAAGGGAAAAATTCCAGAAAGGAGAGAGCCAGGGAAGTGGATCTATGAATTCCGTGTATGAATTCTGCCCAAATATATAGCTCACTCCTGAACCAGAAAAGCATGGGGCCAACTTCCCACAGGCCTTCTCATAGGTCCGCCAAAGCTAAAAAAAAAGGATGAAAATTTGATCTGCCACCTACTTCAGAAAATAAGAGTTTTATTATTTGATTAACTGTCAAATCAATTGCCTGCTAAAATGAAATAGAAAAATATTAGCATTCTTAAGAGAAATAGAAGATAACCCATATTCTCCCTATCATAACATTCAAAATGTCCAGAATCCAATTCAAAATTATGAAATGTATCAAGAAATAGGAAAGCATGATCCATTTGCAAGAGAAAAAAATAATCAATACAGACAAAATTCTAGATGACATATATTGGCATTAGAACATAAAGACCTCAAAATATTATTTTAGCTACTCACCAGGCAAAATTCTTCCTCTTCTATCAAAATCAAGTTTTCAGGCTGAGCAGAAGATTCAGAGAAAAGAATTTCCACCCAAGCATATTTTGTGTTGAAAGGGAAAAAAAACTGTATAACTTCATTGGGCAAATCATCCAGTTTTCTTACAATAAGACTTAATGTCTTGTTGATAGCCACCTACTCTCTGAATACCAAGCAGCAATAGGAACATTTCAAAATTTCGTTTTGCAACCTGATTTTCACATAGATTCAATTTCGCTTAAAATCCAAAAATCTCATTATATTATAAAAATGTTTCTCCAGAGTCTTACAGATGCTTGTTCCACTGTATCATATGATGGTAAATGTCTGTTATGTGGGCTAAATTCTGCAGCCATTTTTTTTTTAATCATCAAAGCACTCAGCAAAATGTGGCTTATTTTTTCTTGTATGTATTCACGCATTTCAACTTTCAGCTGAACACCCTGTGAAAAACAGATCCTTTGGTAACCTATTGGATTTCTACATGTACAGGAGGTTTCTCTCAAACATTCAGGCATTTTTTTTTCCTCAAAAATTCTCAGGTGTACTTGTTTTTCTTTAATAATATACATATGACTTTTTGTAGCATTATCTATATTTTTTTCATTTAATCTCCAATGTCTTTGGCACAAGTGCCTCTCGACAAAGCATTCAGTTTGTTGGGAAGATGCAGGATTTGCTTGATTCTACAAGAAGCATAATCCTCCTTAGACCCAGTGGTTGGTAATGCACTGTCAGTACAGAAGCCAACACAGTACCTCCAAGAATGAATTTTGTTTTCAGCTATGAATAAAAATCTAAGTATAATTTTGTCTTGTGCTTGTTGTGCCCAGCTCTTTGTAACAAGAAAGCATATTTTTTAACATTCATCATTATTTAAAAATTATTTGAGTGCTTAGCTTGACATGTTTTATGGAATTTGGTGTTTGCTTTGAATGGTTGTGTACCTTCAAAATACATGTTGAAACTTAGTCCTTAATGCAACAGAATTTAGAGGTGAGGATTTTAATAGGTAATTGGATCATGAGGATTCTGCTCTTATGAATGGAATTAGCACCCCGATAAAAAGACCTGAGGCAGTCTTTGCACCTTTATCCATTTTGCTTTTCTACCACATAAGAATACAGCTTTATGCCCTTCATCCACATGTGGATGTAGCTACAAGACACCATCAATGAGGAATGGTGCCCTCGCCAGACACTAAACCTGCCAGCATCTTGATCTTGAACTTCCCAGGTTCCAGAATTAGGAGAAATAAATTTCTATTATGTATAAATTACTCTATCTAAGGTATTTTGTAATGGATGTAATAAATGGAGTAAGACGTTTGGGTTTGTTCTTTGCTTTTTTCCTGTGTATTATAAAACATCTTCATAGGATGTAACTTATCATCAATACTTCAATATGTAGTACTATTTGAGAGTAAAACTCTTCATTTTCTCACACTGCATCTTTTGCTAGCATTTTAGTTGCTACACATGCAAAATTATTAGATTCTCACAAATTATGAATTTTATATTTCAGATGATAATTTTTATTGTTACTAAATGACTTTTTTCCTTATCATTTGCACTGAATAGAAGTTTGTAAACAAAGGTTTTATTTTGTTCACTTTGAGAGTCCAATATCTCCATCATTTCTCAACTGGTTATGAAACATAGTTTAGAGAATTTTAATTTTTCTGCAGCCATTGCCATATTTACATGTTATTTCTTAATGGACTTCAATAACATGTATTACCAGCACATATAAAAGTCATTGATAAATAGCTTTCATTGTAAAGACTAACTTTTTTGCAGTCTCTTGTTCATGGGGTTAGTTAATAACTTAGAGGTGCTCTTCATCATGAAGAACCTCAGAATTTTCTATAGACCTAGGCAAATAATTGTTTCCTCTAATACCTGCATTTAAAAATGGCCAAGTTATATTTTCAGACATGTTTGCAAGATGAAAATACTTACAAAATGTAAAATTAAGGGCCAAATAAATAGCAAAATGGAAAAAATTAAAATATTATAAAAACTTTCCAATGCAATGCACCCTTGATCTATACAAGTCATTGAATTGAAATGTTTCAAACAACAGAAAACCAGTGGGAAATGGCTGGTATTGGGAAGAGAGAAGACAAGTCTCAGTGTGTAAAAATTCCTTCCTTCTAAATAAAATTATCTTCCAATTTTCTGTTACATTAATAAAACTCTTTGGCCCTTGTAAGTTAGTGAGTGGTAGATGTGGAGAGATTAGAAGAGAGAATCCCTGAGGCAGAGGCTGCCCCCTTCTGCTATAGACAACACAACTTTCAGAAACTGAGACTATATTCAACCAAAGCAACACAGTCTTACAATAAATTGTCCTATGGGGATATAATATCTTTAATGAAATTGCTAATATGGTTGCTTGGTATCTCTCCATCATTATTCCTATTTTTAACTTAGTACAGCCATGCCATCTGTCTTTACTGTTCAAGTTCCTGTTCTCTTCTCACATCTTCAGAGTCTTACTTGTTCCAAATGTCCTCTCAAAACATGTTCAATGAACACAGCTCCTTTCCTGAGAAGAATTCTGAGGTCAGTTTTTGAAGTAATGTAAGTTTCCCCTCCCTCCCTTACACAGGTTTCATGGACTTCTCTGTAATAAGGAGTTCGATCAGGGAATAGAAGGCCTAATACTGGTATGAGGAGCAAATTTGCTGTTGAGAAAGCCAGATTTCAAATCTCCTTGAATTTAAGTTATGTGCCAAATATTAATGGTTATTCCTCATTTCATGGAACCAACTCAGGCTTTTCTTCTCTAAAATATAAAACTGAAGAAGTACAGGTTGAAAGGAAGCATGTGTTCATATATGAGTAGAGTTACTATTTAGAATTATCTGAATCAGAATATTAAAAGGCATGCTAATATGTAGTACAAATAACAGGTAGCTAATGTAGCTAATGTATCTGTTTACTACACATAAAAATTACATGGCTGGGAGCGGTGGCTCACACCTGTAATCCCAGCACTTTGGGAGGCCAAAGCGGGCAGATCACCGGAGGTTAGGAGTTGAAGACCAGCCTGGCCAACACGGTGAAACCACTCTCTACTAAAAATATAAAAATTAGCCAGGCAGGGTAGTGTGCACCTGTAGTCCCAGCTACTCAGGAGGCTGAGGCAGTAGAATCCCTTGAACCCAGGAGGAGGAGGTTTCAGTGAGCTAAGATCGCACCACTGCACTCCAGCCTGGGTGACAGAGCTAGACTCCATCTCAAAAAAATTTTACATGTTTTCTATATTTTAATATATGTACAATGTGCATATATGAGCATATTTATATGTACAGAGCTAGAGAGACAGAACAGAGGGTGAAGAGATGTACTAATTTTCTATTGCTGTGACAAATCACTGCAAATTTAATGGCTTAAAACAACTAAATTTATTGTCTTATAAGTTTATTATCTTATAGTTCTTCAGGTCAGAAATCTGAAATCTCACTGAGCTAAAATCAGCAGGGCTGCATTCCCTTTGGAGACTCTAGGGATGAATCCATTTCCTTGCCTTTTCCAGCTTCTAGAAGCTGTCCATCTTCCTTAGTCTATGGCCCTATCCTCCATCTTCAAAGCCAGCAATGGAGGGTTAAGTCCTGACATCATATTACTCTGAAACTGTTTTGTCATCTTACCTCTTTTTCTGACTTTCCTCTTCTGCTTAGCCATCCCATTTTTAAGGACCTTTATAATTACAGTTGACCCTTGAACCACAGGTTTGAACTATGTGGATCTACTTATATATGAATTTTCTTCCACCTCTGTCACCCCTGAGACAGCAAGACCAACCCCTCCTCTTCCTCGTTTGCCTCAGCCTACTCAGCTAAAGGTGACAGGAGAAAGAACTGTATGATGGTCCACTTAATAAATAGTAAATATATTTCCTCTTTCTTTATGATTTTCTTGATATCGTTTTCTTCTCCAGCTTACTTTATTGTGAGAATACAGCATAGAATATGTGTAATATACAAACTACGTGTTAATCAACTATTTACGTTATTGGTAAGACTTCTGGTGAACAGTAGGCTATTAGTAGCTAAGTCTTTGGGAAGTCAAATGTTACAGTGAATTTTTGGCTGCATGGGAATCAACTGAAAATATATGTACAGTTGACTCTTGCACAGTGAGAAGATTAGAGACAGGAAATCCATGATATCTCTCTACCTTAAGAACAACTGATAAGCAAACTCATTCTATCTGCAAATTTAATTTCTCCTTGCCATGTAACCCAGCATATTTACACATTTTGGGGATTAGGACATGGGTATCCTTGGGGGAATCAGCATTCAGCCTAACACAGTATATACTCTACATTTGGGGAAGTGGGTTTTCTATAAATGCTTTCTTGTTAAAGTTCCAAGAACATAGGGAGATTGCTGTTGTATAATCTTCTACAGAATGTACAAGTTTTTCTTAATTCAGGTAAATATTGTCCTAAATATTAAGAACTATAGAGAATGTCAATTTATTGAAAGGGCAATTATGAGATGACATATTTGTAAAGCTCATACCAAGTTTACTGGACTACTGTATATTTATGAAGGCATTGTTAAACTGTAAAAAATTAAATCTCTTCTACACCCCTTCATCTAAATTTTCAAGTCATATGCATATACATATTTCCAAATACTACACACCTATATGTATGTGCATGAATAAAAACATATATACACATACGCTTCTATACATATACAGAAAATATTTTTTATTTTATATATACACGTATGTATATAGCACATGTGTACATTTGTGTGTGTATATATATATACACACCTATATACACACACATATATATATATAAAGAGAGAGAGAGTCTATTCTCCTTATTCTCATGTTTCTGTATTTGAGGCTTTGTATTTGACAGTAGGCTAAATAGCCTCTTCACTACAATTTATGTACAAAGTCCAAACCAATGCTCACATCACTTTTATGGTCTTTTGTGGACATGCTTAGAGCAGTGAAAACTTTGAATTGTCTGATGTGCATCTTTCCAGGTGAGGCTGAGCAAGGTGACAATTTACTTTCTTGTTTTAACTTTTGCACTGCAAAGAAGTGTCGCTTTTGAGGCCTGTTGAGTGTCACATTTTTCACATTTATATGCTCTTTGATGTTGATTTCACTGTTTAAAATGGTCCCGAAGTGCAGCGCTGATGTGCCGTCTAGTGTTCCTAAGCTCAAGTGTTGTATTTTTTTTTCTAATAATTTGGTCTTGAGGTCTTTCAGGACAGTGGCAACAAACTCTCACCCTGTCCTTATGCGGCTCCAGGGAATGTGGGCATGGTTTACAGTGTGCCTTTCATAGGATTCTTAATTATTATGGCAAATGCCTGATACCCAAATGTCAACCCATGACAAGATGTTCCTCTCACAGAAAAGTTGATACTGGGAGATGCCCTTGTGGCTATTCTCTGATCTGTGTCCAGTTTATTCTTACCAAGATAGTCACTCTCTAAGACAGCCCTGAGCAGGAAAGAAGTTAGGTTTGTGTGTGTCAGATGGGTGAGACCTAGAGAAGGCAACTCAATAAATCACATGAAATAACAGAAGCTGTTGATTACTTACAGATCCCAGAGAGCAAAGGGCAGCAGGCCTTGCAGTTTCAACAGGAAGGGGGAAGCCATTCAGGAAACACAAGCTCTGCCAGCATGTGGGGAGCAAAAGAGAAAGTGAGGGCCCTGTAGGTCAAAGCCTCTATTGGAGTCCGGTGTGTTGCCCGAGCATGTTTTTCTCAGAGTTCTAATTGATGGCCTGAGTTCCATGGAATCATTCTGTGACTGAGAGGTGGGCACTGCTGCATGTCTGCTTAGTCCGTGTGGGGTGTGGAGGTCAGTGGGGGTTGTCAAGTAGGTTGTATCCAGCTATCCCATAGAAAAGTGGTCACCTGGATGCAGATGTTTAAGGCAGATATCTAGATCAACCACATGGAAGGACCGGAAGGGAATGGTGAACTGGAAACCGAGTCAAGGGTGACTAAGTCCCAATTCTGCTGTGAGAAAGTAAAACCTAAATTCAGAATGGATACTAAGGCAACATAAAATCATAAGAATGCATCATACCCGGAAGGCTGTGATGCATCTTACAGAAAAAATACGTGTGTTAAATAAGCTTGCTCAGACATGAGTTACAGCACTGTTGATAATAAGTTCAAAGTTTAAGCATACACCATATGTATCAAATAAGGTGTCATTAAATATTGGGGTGATCAGACCCGACACCAGGTCATGGGAGTGACAAAGTCCGACAGAGTCAAAGGATTGAGAAAAAGACAGTTTGAGAGAGAAAGCTGGGACCAGAGGGCCATCACTAGTGTATGGAGGCTGCGAAGGCCCTGAGCTCTGGGAGCCCATGCTCTTTATTGGTAATCCAACAGAGAAACAGGTGGTGAGAATGTGGAGGTCAAAAGGACGCGTTGTATTAAGCATATGATTTTCAGCTGTGATGGTTTAGCATTTGCTCTGCTACTTGAGATAATAGAGAGCAGGTTCTTTTAACTCAAGATACAATTGATCCTGGGAGAGCAAGGAGCAAGCAAATCTAGACACATTCCAGAGCCATGAGCCCTGGATTCTACTCAAGCCACAAGGGATTTTATGCCCTGGGCTGAGATTATGGTACATCAGGGTAGCCTTCCATCCTTTAGCACAAAGCTTGGTGTTCCAAAAGCCACAAGGGGTTTCAGACCCTGGACCCCGGACATGTTCCAAGACTCTTTTACATTATGTCAGACATGCAAGCCCTGCCTCAGCTTCTCCCAACACTTAGCTTTTTCCCAAAAATTAAACAGAAATGCACATAAAACAAAGTTATGGATTATCAGGTTAAAAAATGTTATGATCAGAGGCTCACAGAAACCTCACCCTGTATTTCCCTTAGGAGCAATAGCTTAGTGTTGGTTACGTAGTGTTTACAGTGACTTTGAGGCCATAACAATTGGTGAGAATCAACTCTCTGAATTTCCCCATTTTTTAAAATCCCTCTCTCTGTCTCTCTCTCTCTGTCTTTATATATATATATATATATATATATATATATATATATATGCTCTTTGATGTTGATTTTGCTGTTTAAAATGGTCTAGTTGTCCTGCAGTAATAGCATTATGAATGGCTTAGAGTTTAGTAACATGAACAGTACCCTCAATTTTCTAAAACAAACAAAAAATATAGCTAATTAGTAAGCATAAGTAATGATAAAAGGCCAGAAATTAAGGATGATATTAGCTAGGCTCTGTAAAAACTTTACTTCACTTTTTGCATCATTCAGAAAGAGGTTTGTGGGTTGGGCGCAGTGGCTCAAGCCTGTAATCCCAGCACTTTGGGAGGCTGAGGTGGGGAGATCACCTGAAGTCGGGAGTTAAAGACCAGCCTGACCAATATGGAGAAACCCCGTCTCTACTAAAAATACAAAATTAGCTGGGCATGGTGGTGCATGCCTGTAGTCCCAGCTACTCAGGAGGCTGAGGCAGGAGAATCATTTGAATTGGGAGGCGGAGGTTGTGGTGAGCCGAGATTGCGCCATTGCACTCCAGCCTGGGCAACAAGAGCAAAACTCTGTCTCAAAAAAAAAAAAAAAAAAAAGAAGAAGAAAAGAAACAAAAAGGTTTGTGGTGTGTAGAGAAGTGGACTAAAACTTTACAATGGACTAAAACAGTGCATGGTAATGTTTTACACCCAATGTAATAGAATAAACCTTGTGCAATACATAAATGCTGAGAGCTAGGAGAGTATTCTCTGTTTTTTTCTGGTTTTAATAAGCAGGTTTAAATTTCTTTTAAACAAATTATACATACCCATTGTTAAGAGTAAAAGAAGAAAACTCCATCTTCAACACCTCATTGACCCTCTTTAAGTTAAATAATGACTTATTTCATGGCAGGCACAATACACATATGGCAAGAGAAAGTAATAGATAAAATAAATGCTAAAATAGAATTACTCTTTCCACTAATCTGTTTAATTTAATATTGTAAAGCTGCTGCCAAATATGTTTAAAATTCTTTTTTTTTTCTTTTTGTTTTGAGATGAATTCTAACTCTGTTGCCCAGGCTGGACTGCAGTGGCGTGATCTCAGCTCACTGCAACCTCCACATCCAGGGGTCAAGCAATTCTCTTGCCTCAGCCTCTTGGGTAGCTGGAACTAAAAGCTGCACAACCACGCCTGGCTAATTTTTGTATTTTCAGTAGAGACGGGGTTTCACCATGTTGGCCAGGCTGGTCTCAAACTCCTGTCCTCAAGTGATCCACCCACCTCGGCCTCCCAAAGTGCTGGGATTACATGCCTGAGCCACCGCGCCTGGCCTATGTTTAAAATTCTTACTTATATTTGAATTGTTTTCCCTTAGTTTTAAAAACCTCGTACATATTTTCAGTACAAGTTGCCTTATATTAAAAGGAGTTTCCTCCTGTGATTGTCACCGCTCAAGAAAAAAAAACAAACATTAGACTAAACAATGTTGATTTTTCATTTTTAGGGATTTCACAACAAGTAAAAATAGATTAAAAAAAACTTTGAACTTAAGTT
This sequence comes from Homo sapiens, assembly GCF_000001405.40. Classification (NCBI taxonomy): domain Eukaryota; kingdom Metazoa; phylum Chordata; class Mammalia; order Primates; family Hominidae; genus Homo; species Homo sapiens. The sequence goes on from NW_009646199.1 coordinate 86,488, forward strand.
TTGTTTTGCTTTTTACTGCCTTGGGCTAATGTGGTTTCAAATTCCATTTTAGAGTGAGTTTGATGATTTTATTTGAGAAAAAAGAGCTTCAGGAACCAATTAAAAACCTAGTTTGGGGACCACATTCCAGCTCTGGGAAATAAAGCAATTTAAAGTTAATTCAAGCTACTCTTTCTTCAAAAGCAGAGACCCATCTCCTAGGGAATGTGTTAATCCTTTCATTTTGGTTAGGTTTACTTTTTCCAAATACTGAGGATTCGCCAAAATTTTAAAGACTTACATGTTTAATCATTTTTATAAGTAAAAATTATTTGTTAGAGGGAATATTATTTCCCATGTTGAGTCCTCAGAAACATGTCTATTTAATCATTTAATTCTAACTTACAGATTTATGTTTTTATATGTTCAGAGTATATTAGAATATCAATATCAGAGACCTCCTCTCATCAAAGGTGACTCATGAATAACATCTTAAATAATGGACTAAATATTGTATGATGGGAAAAGAGAATGAGAAAGCGTGGGATACGCAGTCTTTTACTTAGTTATGGCACTACATGAGTTCTTAGAAGTGACAAAAAAGATACATATGAATAAAATTAAGCTTTCTTAAAGGATGTAATGCTGTATAATAATTTTATTGCAAGAGCAACTGATAGTACAATTTCCCTAAACAAGTAGTGATTAATTAAAATAATGGTTAAATATCAATATTGTTTCTCAAAAAATAAATTACATTTGGAGGGCTTGGGACAAGTACAAAGTGAACAGTTTAAAGTGATTTACTTCTTGAGTGGAATAATGACAGGCTCCATAGAGCCGTAGTACATTTGTTGTCTAATTCAGTTTACTTCATCCAATTTTACTGAACTCCAGATTGTCTGTTGGCTGCTAAACAACTCATACATTGGTGATGACATACTTGAAAACCGTATGTCAATGTAATATGGCGATTGCTGTGATAAAGACATGCAAAAGGAACTAGCAAAGTACAAATGTGGTAACATAAATTAATTTAGAATTCCGACATAGCTTCCAGAAAGAGAGAACTCCTATTGTGTCTTGAAAGATAAACAAATTTATGTAAACACGAATGCATTTACACAAATAATTTGAAAAAGAAACCATAGAATGGAGAAACAGGACCTAGGAAACATGGTCTGAAGGAAATTTTAAGAGTAAAATTTGTAGAAAAACTGGTACTAAAATAGGGATCTGGTCAGAATTTCTCCCCATGAACTTTAGTTGGATCATTAAGATAATAGGGTCACGGCAATGTGATTTTTAAAATATGTAAATGATTTTGATATTTATCGTGTTAAGCTGAATATCCAAGTGCAGTTATGACATAAGGAGGAGCTAAAAAGTTGACTTTTGGAAATATGAAATTAACAGTGATGATGGAGACAATGAGATCTAATTAAATCTTCAAGAAAAGGGAATGAAAAAGATAATTGAGATCAAGAGACTGCAGGAAACCGTCCTTATCTACTATCTCGTACATGCAGGTAAGGTTTAGAACTGGCAGAATGTATCAAAAGACGGTGAAAATCACAGTGAGTATGCATTTAATTGTCAGTTTCCAAAAAGTTCATATGAACGTTTCAATTAAATGAAATAACTCATTTCATTTTCTAGACGTCTGCACTACATTAAGTTTCCATCCATTTCATTATATAATTTCCATAAGAGAAATAATCTGAATATATGTAATAAAATACATGACTCAGATACATTTGAAAAGCAAGAATATTATCTTCTAATTATACATAAATGTATTTTGTCTGTTTAAATTTTAGAAAAGTGATTAGAAATCACAAAGATTAAAGCAATAAAGAAATGAGGAAGAAGAAATGAGAGGAATCAAATCTCAATTTTTGCTCAGACCAGTTCCTGAAGACAATTAGGTCTGGCAAACTGTTCCCCTATAGCTTTAGAGTCAATAGTCGTAACCTTGATTCTCTTAAATCTTTACTATGTACACAATGTTTCAAAAAAGATATTGAATATGCAACTAGTCATATTAGTCAATAAACTGGTCAGAATCACTGTATATTTTAAATCATTCTTTGATAATTTGGACACAGTCTACATTTTATAATCAACATCTATCCAAACAGCAAATCAACATTTTTCACAAATATGGTGAAATTATTTTAAAATTTATTTAGTAATCATGTATTTATTTTATGGTATGAATGTTGACGTTGTTACCAGCATTATCTCAGATCAGTATACACTTCATTTAGTTTTCTATATTTCTTTGCCTTTTAGTTTAATCACCTCATTTATTGTGTTTCAGTTTTTGGATAAGATCAGACGCCTGCAGGTCTTTGTTTATTGGAATTATTTTTTTGGGACAGGGACAGAAATAATGGCAATATAGATTATATTAGTTTACAAAAAAAAAATTCAGAAAGAATTCTACAATTCTTGTGGCTGTGCGTCTTCCTTCTACCACAGAAATAGCTCATCATATCAGTATAAAGCCTGCCAATATTCTTACATGTACCATGCTAAATTATACAACACCCGCTAAAACCAACAATTAATTTAACCACAATTATAATCACTGTTATATTTTGAACAATGAATACACAACTTTAAAATAACATAATCAAATGCTCACATATTTTAAATCCACTAATTTTACCAGAATTGCTATATAGATATCTGTATGTGTATATATTTATATGACAACACAGAAAAAAAAAATTAAAAAGTACACATAAAAGTACTTCTCTGAATCTGATTGTCCTTTTCCCAGTACAATATCACTCACTGAGACAGTTATTTTCAGCTGTTTTGTATTTAAACATTAAAATAAGTGATACTTTCTTTGAGAGTATTTCTATGTTCTCTCACAATGACATGATTTCATTAGGACTTTGTTGTTCAAAGGCAAATAAATTAATTCATAGTCATTTGACATTCTTAGGCATCTATATGACTTTATTTACACAACATAAAAAACAAGAGATGGTTTGGATGATGATGGAGTTATTAGTAATGGATGCATTAATTATTATTATATGTTCAATTGTTTAATTTTTGCTTTTTAATGATATTAGGAGAGAAAAATAGCTGAAGAGGAGGAGGATAGGGAAAATCATGAGTGGAATAATACGCATCATGATAACACACAATAATTAGGAATGTAAACTCACAACAAAACTACTGTACCATGAGCCTGAATATAGCAAAACTTGGGACCCTAGCAAAAAAAAAAAAAAGTAGAAAATATGATGTCTCAAAATTTACAATGCTCTATTTAAAACATTCTGGCTATTCAGGCTGATTAAGTTTCAGTGAACTTATTTAGTTTTGAAAAAAACATAAAAATACCTCAATACTTAGTGTATGAGTAACATGACTTAAAATATTAAGTTTGCAGCCCCATAGTTAAGTCAATCCTCGTGTTCCTCACATTTTCTGTTTTCACAACAGTGGCCTCCTAGGTTAATGCCTCAAGATGGTTACATTGTCTCACTTGCGCTGGATCTACTCATTTTCAGTTACTTTGTTACCTTGTAAAAAAAGTTTTCATTTGTATCAAATTATGTTATGAATTGAATATAATAGTATCTCAGTTTTAATTTGCCACTTTGCTTTACAGATTTAAATAAAGAGGAATAAGAACCTTCTATCTCAATGCCCATTACTCTTGCAGTTATTTTTGAGAAAATATACGTATTTTGAGGTTGTTTTAAGTACTAGTCAATCTGGAAAAAAAAATGAAAATGAAAACACTGTCAGAGAAAACTGAAAATACATACTTTAAAAATCCATATATATTTCTTAAATATAACAGTCATGCATATTTCATAGAATAATATTGTGACTTAAAGTTTTTATGTTACCTTATGACTAAATATTTTAACACTAGCTGCATTTTGTTCAGTCTCATATAAACCCTATAACACATGATGAATAAAATATGAATCTTCTCATCAGTTAAAATTTTTCAATGTTCAAGCACTTTTAATTCAAGCTTGCTATAAAGAAATGCAGCAGAGGCAACAATTGTAATAACCAAAGTTAACACCAAAATATACACTGGTGTTTAGCACTGGTCTGACAAAGAATCCAAAGGGGAAAAAAAATGCTTCGATTTACTAAGAGGTCTATCGCATTGCAAGGGATTAATTATAGGTAGATTTTATTGTTATTAGATTTTATTATTTACTTCATCTACTATGCTAGCTAAATTCTATGATGTCCGAATTTGACTATAACATTTTTCATAAGACTTTAATGTAGATAAAGCTATTTTTTTAAATTCAGATGATTCAGTAAAAGGCTTTAGTAAATTACATATAGTTAAAACTTATGGCCAGGCGCGGTGGCTCACGCCTGTAATCCCAGCACTTTGGGAGGCCGAGGCGGGCGGATCACGAGGTCAGGAAATCGAGACCACCCTGGCTAACACGGTGAAACCCCGTCTCTACCAAAAATACAAAAAATTAGCCGGATGTGGTGGCGGGCGCCTGTAGTCCCAGCTACTCGGAAGGCTGAGGCAGGAGAATGGCGTGACCCTGGGAGGCGGAGCTTGCAGTAAGTCGAGATCGCGCCACTGCACGCCAGCCTGGGCGACAGAGCGAGACTCCCTCTCAAAACAAACAAACAAACAAACAACCGTATATTTTCTTTGCATATACCACTATCCTGTTGACTCTTTTCCTCACAATAACCCATTGAGATACATGTTTTTGCTAGACCATTTTATAGATAGGAAAACTGAGATTTAGTACTTTCCCAATGTCATACAGGACATACAAGACTGGGATGAAATTTCAACCCAAGTACGCTGAACTCTAAAACTGTTTATTTTAGCTAGTGCACACATGACCAATTGGATACCCAGATATGTTTTTAAACTTCACCATTGATACTGAGTCCCCAAAAAGGAGACATGTAATTAATAATCAACTAATGAATTTCAGCAAATGTAATTTCTTTGAGGCTGTTCCATAATCTGACTCTGAAACATTTAGGTACTAATATTTGATTATTTAAAACAATTTTCTTCATTTTTTAATGTATTAATTGGAGCTGCAGATTTTGTAGTATTTAAAAACCTGTGGCATCATTTTACATACAACGTAGACAGTTTCAAATGTTATTAATAGTATTATTTACATACATGTACTTGTTACACGGGTAGAAGCAGAAGATACATGAAGTCGAGGTGGATGGTGACAGGGACCATGTCTGGGGTTGAAGCAAAAAAATATATCAGAAGAAGAAAAAAAAGATCCTGCCTTTCTACTTATGGGATGTGTTAGTGATATCAGAAAACAAACACATACAATGACTGACTTTCACAATGATGAGAGAGAGAAATACTCTCATTTTTTCAATACCTAATACTTTAGAGACCCACAGCTATCTTGGTTTTTACATCCTCACCAAAACTGGGTAGAACTTATCCCATTTTACAGATGGGAAAACTAAGCCTTCAAGAGTTTTATTATGTTACGAAAGTCACACTGTTACAATAAACATGGAATGTGACTCTGAGGTGATATTAAATACTCTTGTTTATCAATTAAATTGACTTCTGATGAGAAGTATATAGATGTAACAGATACAAGCTAAGGGTAGATCTGAGGTTGGATTGTCTCCATTTATCAATAATTCTTCACTTTCAACTCTAAATAATACATTGTTACAATTTAACTAAATACTTAAAAGTCTAAAAATTACAATAGATTCTATAAAATGGCCCATTCACTTTGATAAGCTCTTAAACTATAATCTATCACCACTATGGAATAACTGAATAGCTTTTGTAGAGGGATGTAAAGTACTTTTCATCAAATATGAAACTGTTTTATTTAATGGCAGAATTTAAGGTTTGAATTGCAGAAAGGATAATAACAAGCAAGACTGGGATAGCCCACTGGGTAAAATATTTAAAAATGCCTGTGAATTTTAGCCGTAGAGAAGAAATTTATAAATACCTTAATAAATATTCTGTATTTCTTAAGTCTAAGCTAGACTCATACACAATGTGTCAAGTTTTTAAAAGATTCAAGTTTACTATTTAGCTGTTTTGGGCAATATTTTATTTATTTGGCCTGAGAAGGAGATAAGTTTCAGTGATATATGTAGTCAGAATAATTTGTATATTTAATGAGCTATTAAATCAATATCTCACAAATAATATATTCTTAATACTAAAGTCGTTAGCCTTGTTTGTACACATATATTTAATGTTAACAAGTGAATCATATTCCATATTTCATAATAGAAGCTTCTGTGAAAAAACTCATAATTATTTTTGAAAACTTACAACATTATATATAAAAATACATTCTCAAGACATATTTGTTTTCAAGATATTTTATAATAAATACAAGCCTATCAAAATTAGACCAAAATATAAGTACTGTAGTTTCTATTCAATTTCTAAAACACTGAGTAAAATGATACCTTGTAAAAACAAGAAAATTAGATAGAATGTAGGTAGTCCTGTGTCTGGAAGTGAGTGTAGATGTAAACACAGAACCATAAAATATTGTAAATAAATATATAAGTTCATCTTAAAACATCACTAAATTATTTTTATACCAATGATATATGTCAAAAATATATTTTATGCTCAAAATATATGAAGGAATATTGTTAAGACAAATGAATGACTCAATGAATAATTTTTCTATTATACCTACTGGATTAATAAGAGTAAAAGTGGGCTTATTTGAATATAAAGCAATATAATCAACATAATAATTAATACAAAAAAATTAGTGCAAGATTTGTCACTTTAAGAGTCTCAGAAAATATCTCCAAAAATTATTAAAATTACTCAATAATGAACTTAATTATTATATTATTAGCTGAAGTTCAAATGTCAAACTTACCTAAAATATTCAATTTGTAACCGTCAAACTGTCACAGGGATTACATTAAACATTTTAAAAGTATAACAATCTATTTTAAACTGTTAGCAGCTTAATTTCTAACTCACAAAAAAATTTATGTATTTATTTTTTTGAGACAGGGTCTCACTTTGTCACCTGAGCTTCAGTGCAGTGGTACAATCATGGCTGTCTCCTAGGCTCAAGTGATCATCCCACTGCAGCCTTCCGAGTAGCTGGGACTAGAGGCGTGTACCATGCCCAGCTAGACAAATGACTACTTTATAGCTCTGCCCTCTCCTGCTTGATGTTATTAATGTCCCAAACTGCACCTTTATATATTGTGTATCAATTAATATGGATTTAAAGTTATTTTTATGCTTTTGTAGTTAAATTTTTTAAAATAACTGAAAATTGAGTTATAAACAAAAATTACAATAATACAAGTTTCATATTTGTCCATGTATTTACCTTTATTGGAGAATTTTATATAAGTTTTCTTATACTTCTGTATTGCTGTCTAGCATATTTTCATTTCAAATGAAAGGGTCCACTTAATTTTTTTATTTTTATTTTTTAGTAGGGCAAGTCTTTTAGTAATGAATACCCTCAGCTTTTGTTTATCTGAGAATTTCTTAATTTCCCCCTCATTTTTGTAGGAGAGTTTTGTTAGATGTGGTAGGCTTGGCTGGCATTTTTATTCTGTTTCAATACTTTAAATATATAATCTCACTGCCCTCTGTGTGTGTGTGTGTGTGTGTGTGTGTGTATGTGTTTATTCAGTTTAAATATGTGTTTTTTAACTAGGAAATTTGGTCTATTTGCATTTAACATAAGTATTAACATGTGGCTTTAAAATGTGTTATGTTCTTTTAGTTTTTCTATCTGCTTGATCACCTTTTTTATGTCTTTTCTTACTGTATTTTAGAATGGCTGAATATTTTAATTATTTCACCTGCCACTCCATTATCTTAAGAGCTTCATATTTTTTACTACTCCATTAGCAGTTTTAGAGATTAAAACATGTATACTTGACTCTTCTAAGTCTATTATAGTTTAGCACCTTTATCTTCTTGGCAACTGTGAAAGACATTTTGAAACAATTCACTTCCTCCTGATTTATATGCTAGTGTTATTGTGTATTTTCATAGTATGTAGGTGTATATTATTTTTAGCATTTTTACTTATCAATACTATCAGTATTAGTCCTCTTACCTAATTAATCATGCCTTCTTGAATCTTCATAGTTCATCTTAATGTGTATATGAAATATGTCCTTGTTTAACCTTCATTCATGAAATATAGTGGCATTTCTCACTGCTGATAGAGCTCTAGGATAACATTTATTTCTCCAGAGCATGAAAATATCAATCCATTGTGTTCAAGCTGTCCAAGGTGTTACCTGCACCGTGGTGCCATTAGAGCCCCAAACCTGGACAGGACCTGGTCTCCAACCTCTTTCTGTCTATACACGGGAAGATCTCAAAACATTTTCTGAGCCTTTTAGCCCCTTTTCTAATAAAAGCAATGGCTGCCATGGACAAAGCAGCACCTGATACTGGCCACTTCTCTATCTGGACATCTTGTAGACCTGGGACAAAAAAATTCTTCTTTATGTTTCTTCTCTGACTGCATCAAATTGATTTTTTAAAAATGACCAGCTTGTCTAGTTGTCATTAATGGGAGAAATGGAGATATTTAACCAGAATTCATAATGGAATTAAAAGTACTTTGCCATTTATCTGTATTTATATTATCAGCCCCATTTCTTCAGTAATTTTTCTAGTCTGGTATTCAGTACAAACTTATTCATGTAAGCAAACACCACCTGTTCCCCCAAAACCTATTGAAATAAAAAAATAAAGATGCAAAGACATCTTTTTTCCTCCCATGCTTCCCTGCTAGGAGGCACTGGACAAAACGAAATACCTCTATATGTCTGTGTTACTTTCTTGACAAGTAAGAATTTACTAAAGCAAAAAAAAAAAAAGACGAAAATATGCCATGAAACTAATACATCAACATTTTGTTTCTTTTTTTTATTGGAACATATTTGCCCAAAATGTCCATCCATATTCATTCTGTGATTGCTGGTAACACTTAGCCATGAGCCTTTAAATGATATATAAAATTTTTCTCTCAAATACAAAGTGAAGCATATATTAAAGATAATAACTAAAGTACATCTCTTTAAAATATGGATTGAAGATACACAATAACATTAGCATATCTACTATATTTATAATAATTTATTAAGCTAGATATATATTTTAATATATCAATTTACTTCAAAACTATTTTCAGAGCAAAAATGGAAATTAAACTTTTCAAATGTGCAAAGAAATAAATCACTAGCATTTACATAAAACTGTTGGCTTCATGAGATTAATTACATAATTTATTGCTCTGGGCTGATTACTTCATTGTGCCAAATGAGTAAAGAATAGACTACACACCTCCATCACAACCCAGGAACTTCAAATTACCAGTTGTTTGCATTGTAAAAAGTGCTCATGACCATGTCTAAGTAGATATGATCACAGTCTTTAAAGACAATAAACCATTATTATGATGTCAAGAGAATGATGAGTAAGCTTTCTATGTAGCCTAATGTTAATATTTTTAAATACAATTATCTCTAATTTTAGGTCCACATATCGGCGTCCTTTTTGTTTGCCTGTAAAAATGTTTTCTTTATGTTCAATCTTTTTTTGAGGATAGTATTTTTTTATTAATGAGAATAAAATCTCTGTCATAAACTGAAACATATTTTAGGGTATAATATATTGAAAGATAAAGAGTTTTGTTTCTAAGCACTGCAAAAAAGTAGCAAAAACTTATTTTAAATAGCAAGTTTAATTATGAACTGGACATATTTTAAAGTGTCTTTCTCTCACTATGGAAAACTTTACTAATATTGTCACATGGTGTGGTGCTACACATCTGTAGTCCCAGTTAGTCGAAGGCTGAGGCAGGATGATTGCTTGAGACCACAAGGTCGAGGCTGAATAAATTATGATCACACTACTGTATTCCAGCCTGAGTGAAAGACAGAAAGAAGGAAGGAAGGAAGAAAGGAAGGAAGGAAGAAAGGAAGGAAGGAAGGATTGTCACATATATATTTTAACAAAAGAGATAAAACATAACAAAGATTATTCACTAGTTATTATTCTAATTCCATAAGCATTGTCCATATAGAAAAGGGAGTCAAGAAGCAAAAATTAGAACACATAAAAATATGAGTTTTAAAAATATATTTACTGTTTAATTTTTAGGAAGTCAATTTATTTAATATAACCAAGCAGCTTTATAGTTGTAGTTATGAACATAAGCTAAATTTGAAAAGTTGTAGCAAACAAAACAAAACAAAGCCCTTAACATAAATAATTATTAATAAACATGAATGTCCATTCTCAATTGCAGCCATAATTAGAGCTTACAGTGGCTATTTCACAACTTTAGAGTAATTATTATTTCAGTTTCCCATATTTTGAGAGAGTTTGAAACATGGTAATGGGTTCCTAGGATAGAATATGAAATGTGGCTTAATGTTGAAATCATTCAGTGGTGCTGCAGAAGCAATTCACAAACGGGAAAGGGAGGCATGAATCTAACCAATGATTCAATGTTTATTTTACTCTATACAATTTATAATTTCAAGATAAAATAAACACTGTGTAAGTGGTTGTCACTGAAAACGTAAGTTATGCATTCCAATTATATGATAGGTCAAAAGTAAAATGAAAGTCAACAGAACCAGCAAAACCATGGCGTTTTGCATCTTATTCCCTGCCCCATAAAAATGATTTGAGTTGGAGTCTATAGATCTACATGGTACGGAGACTTCTAAATCAATTCTAGAGGTTATGGGAAAATATAAACAGAAGTGCCAATTTTAGAACATTGATTTTTCTATGTCTGTGGAAAAACCCAGAGTGGGTGTCTAGGGGCTGAAAAATTGTTGGAAAAATTTCTTTGGCATGTTTTCCCTTATATCAACACTTAGGAGAGTAGGAACCAGAGTTAAGTCAAATTCTATCCTTTGCACCACTACACCACATAACCGTCTCCATACCAGCAATCAAAGACACTTTCTTTGAATAGGATAGATTTGAAAACATGAAGAATTCTATGTTTTTCTAAAGTATTATTTAATATATAAGAAACACATTGAAGAATGACTTTGATTCCATCCATGGTATTCAAAATTATTTAGTTGATATCATTAATATAAAATTTAAAACATCCATTTGGAGCATATAAAATATATATGGAATCAGTACTGTATTTCCAATGACTGCTAATATAATGAGCAAGCCCAGAAAATGCTATTACATGTGTTTGGATGGATTTCTATTGCTTACTAAAAGCCTATTTTACCTTCCTCAGAGCTAATAGAAGCAGAGTTATCCATCAAGAATAGCAATTAAACTTTAATTTTCTATATGTGTGAAGTCAATATACTAAAGAAATCCAATGGCTTCAATTACACTTTTGCAATTTTAATTATTTTATGCCTGAAATTTCTAGAAAATTTTCCACAGTGTCTAATACATCACAACGGAGAACTTAATCTCACTGGATTATAATTAGACTCTAAAGGGTAAATTAAATGAATATATGCATTCTTGTTTATATATAAAACCTTCAAAGGAAAAATGATATTCATCAACAAAATTTTAAATTGAGTACTGCAACCTTGATTCAGACTTTGCATTTTAAAATATCGCCTTATAAAAGAGTGAAATCTTTATATATTTTTTGTAAACACTTAGCATGTACTTCAGGTTTTATAAGAAATAAACATTTAATGAGCATCTAACACGTAACAAATATATCTTCTAGAAATACACCAATAATGTACAAAAAGGGCATTTTTATTTGTTTGCTTGAGAGTAGACTTGTAACAAAATAAAAACAGTGTTTAAACATTCCAGGTATAATATAAGAATTTACAAGATACAGAATTAGTGCAAAGGAAAGAGTGCTTAGTGTTCTTTGGCAAAGACATTCACTTACTTGAATTAAATGTCACATCAACTTAACCACATTCTTCATTGATTGCATGGCTGCCCTCAGTCTGGACTATGACCGGAAGAAAGTCTCCACGGCCGCCATCTTGGCCAGGATTAAAAGAACTGGAGATGGAAGCTACAAGAGTGGCTGAGTTTGGGGTCTCTCAGGTTCCTATTTCAAAAGCCAGCCAGGCGGAAGTTTAAAGTCTGTTTATTAACTACTGAATAATGCTACCAGGATGCTAAAGATGATGATGTTAACCCATTCCAGTACAATATTCTTTCAAAATGCAAAAGTATTGAAAGCCAAAACAACAATAACAACAAAAACTGTTAGGTGAATGTTATAATCAGAATGTGCTTGTTTGACAAGCAAGAAGACTTTCCAGAAATATCCAAAGGCAAAGAAAAACATGCATGAACCAAACATGGCAATTAGTATCTATTTGGAGAAGTTACATTGTGAAAATGGTGAAGTATGAAAAAAAAGCTTACATAAAATATTCGGGAACTTATGTCATTTTTTAAAGTATAGAATGATATTAAACTGGGAAGTATTGGTAGAAGGGACAATACATTTTATAGATGATTAGTTTTAGAGTCAGTTAACCAGTGATATGACTGAAAATAATAAAACATTTTACTGAAGTGTATTTTATAGATTATGTTAAATCTATTCAGATAATATAGATAGCATAGAGAATATTGAATAAACTTGAAATATATTAGAGAGATACAACTAAAAAGTCACCACCTCAACTGTACCTAAACCCAGGTCCTAGCAGGTACTGTTATTTACATCTCTAAAATATAATTTGTCTGGTTCCAGTAATCTTTGTACCATTACAACTTTAGTCTAAGCTACAATCATTTCTTGCCTTGAATTCTTCCCCAGGTACTTGACTCTAGCTCTCTGGCCTCTTCTGAACATTACTTCTCTGCTAATAAAGTACTTTTTACAAAACACATGTAATCATTGACTTACAACTGTGAATCATTGAAGAGCAGTCTTCTAAATATGGCCATAAAAGCCCTCCGGAGTCTGACTCCTGCCTGTACCCCAAACTCATCACCACATTGCCTGCTCCATTCCAGCCATGCTAGCATTCCTTCTCTTTTCAACACTATTCCCCATCCACTTCGCTACAGGATCTTCATACATGCTTTTTTTTGAGACAGAGTCTCTCTCTGTCGGCCACACTGGAGTGCAGTGGTATGATCTCAGCTCACTGCAGCCTCCATCTCACAGGCTCAAGCGATTCTCCTGCCTCAGCCTCCCTAGTAGCTGGGATTACAGGTGTGTGCCACTACGCTCAGCTAATTTTTTGTATTTTTAGTAGAGACGGGGTTTCACCATGTTGGCCAGGCTGGTCTTGAACTCCTGACCTCAGTTAATCTGCCCACCTCGGCCACCCAAAGTACTAGAATTACAGGCGTGAGCCACCGTGCCCGGCCCATGCTCTTTAATGTTATCAGTCATTGTTAATTACTAGTCCAATGTTATTTATTTTTCAGCTGTTAATAGAAGCATGACTTCTTTAGGGAAGAACTGCTGATGTTGCTAGCTAAATACTTCTATTTCACAGTCATAGAATTGGTTCTTCTCCTTTGTATCATGGCACTTCTGAAATTTCATGAGTTTGTAGTTGTTTAATTGACATTTTACTTTCTCACTATAATGAAAGGACATGAAAGAATAGATTATGTTTTTGCTGACCAGCAAAACCTCATACTTGACATATAATAAGCACATATTAATTACTATTAAATGAATGAAACTTTTGAGGCTATAATACGGAAGTTAGATTTTGGTAGAGTAAAATGTTTCTTTAAAAAACATGAATGGTAAAAGTATTTGAGCTGAAAAGTTAAGTGATGAAAGATGCACTTTAAGACAATCTGAAATCAATATGGAACGTTGGTTGAAGTAGAAGAACCCAAAGATCCAGAGAATAGCAAGTCAGGGAACAAAAAGAGGTTAAATTAAGAGGATGGCAGCTGAAAAAACAATGCAGTGACCACACAAAAAATTTACTTTTTAACTTAATTGGGAAGGCACAGATAAAGACATGAGGCATGAAAGAAGGGACACGAAATGTTGTATATCTTATACATAAATATATATCTTATAAATAAAATTAATGAACATGATTAATGTTGGAATTAATATGTTGGAAAACGAATTAAAATTCTAGATAAGTATAGCTTTACCAAGACAGAATCAAAAATAAATTAAATTTTCTTTGTTTAATAATAATTCATGTTGTTAGTAGTTAAATATCTCCCCACAAGGAAATACCTGGGATTGGCCTGGGCTGAAGCTCTCCTAATAAGGAGGCCTCTAGGGAGGCATTCGAGCTAGAAATGCAGATCTAAGTAAAAACGAAAAATTGTGGCCAGCTTCAGCCTGGGCATGTGTGGGGTGGAGGCTGTGGGCTTAAACTTTGTTGGTAACTCCCTTCAGACTCTGCGCTGCACTGACTCTGTGCACACCAAGCTGTGGAGGTCAGTTTTCTTCATCAAGACCTGCATGGAAAACTTTTATAATGACCTTTGGCAGGGCCTCAAAGATCACACACAAGATTTTGGCTTGGAGCCAGATTCCTCCCTTTTCCTTTCTATGTTTAATTTTAAATAGTTTTTAATGTAATTTTTATCTTACAAGTTTTATTTCTCATCTCAATTCTATTTGCATTTAAAGCTAGTTTTCATATCAACTTAACTTTTTTTTAACATATGTGATAGACTCAATTTCTATTTCCTGCTAATTCCAAGGTATGTGTTAATTCAACATCATTTGTATTTTATTGTTTTTTATCTTCATTGTGAGTCAAATTTCAAAGTTTTTTTCATGCCTGGGCATTTTGTTTGTTGATACATAAAAATTGTATTTATTTATGGGTTACATGTGGTATTTTGATACATGCACGCAACCAGTAATGATCAAATCAGAGTAATTGGGATATCCATTGGCTCAAACATTTATTATTTCTGCATGTTTAGAACATTCTAAATCTTCACTTGTAGCTATTTTGAAATATATAATAAATTATTGATAACTATACTTACCCTACTGTGCTATGAACACTAGAACTTATTCCTTCTAACTGTATTTTTGTACCCTTTAACCATCCTCTCTTCATTGCCCCCTCCCATAAACTTTGCAGCCTCTGGTAACCACTATTCTACCCTCTGCATCTATGAGATCTGTTTTTTAGCTCCCATAGATGAATGAAAAAACACGATTTTTGTCTTTCTGTGTCTGGTTTATTTCACTTAACATAATGTCCTCCAGGCTCATCCATGTTGCTGAAAGTGACAGTATTTCATTTTTTTTATGGTGGAATAATATTCCATTGTGTACATATACTACATTTTCTTTCCATTCTTGGTGTGTATACACCACATTTTCAATTCATCTGTTGATGGATATCTGAGGCTGATTGCATATCTTGCTATTATGAATAGTACTGTGATAAACACTGGATGTGCAGATATCTTTTCACATAGAGATTTCCTTTGTTTTGGATATAGACCCAGGAGTGGGATTGCTGGATCATACGGAAGTTCTATTTTTTATTTCTTTTTTTTTGGGAACGTGATGCCTGGTAATTATTAATTGGTTGCCAAATATCGTCTTAACTTTTCTGGAGATATTTTTTATTTATTTCTATAAATAGTTTGAGTTTACTTTGGGACATAGTTACACTATTTGAAAACAGGCTGCTTCTTTTAAGTCTTACTTTTAAGGTTTGTTAAGCTGAATTAAATCAATTCTCAGTCTAAGGATCCCCCATTCGTGAGGCATGACCCTTGTGTGTTCTGTACACAACACTTTGTAAATCATACATTATTTAGAGAATCTAATGAGAACAGGCACTTTTACAGGCATTGTAACCTCAAATATGTTGGATGGTTCTTTTCTCCTACACATACCAATCATTACTCATCTCAGTAATTGAGGTGTACCCTCTGCAGATCCTCGGAGTTCTCTGTTTGTGTTACACCAGTATTTTCTCCTGTGAACTACAGGCTCTTTGGGGTCTCAAATCTCCTAAATTTAGAGTGTGCCAGGCTTCACCTGTTTTCCTCATTTTTCTCTGCATCCTGGAAAATCGCTCTTAGCAAAAAATTAGGGCAGTCGTAAGGATTAACTTATTTGGTTTCTATCTTTAATGTTATCAAAATTGTTTGATTCCCCATATTTTACTCTTTAAGGTTAGAAGAGTGTATATCTTGTTTCTGTCAATTCATCTCAGCCAGAAGTAGAATATTTTCTTATAGGAGCATACTAAATAACTCCTGAATATTTCTGCCAAATAGGCCTAACACATGATTTCTGATTATGTCAGTGTGACATATTGGATAATATCACTGTGAAAACATTGCTAATAAGCTTTGACTTCGTGAAAATTTCAAAAGAGTACATGCAGAGAGCTGTATCTTGTTATGAGGCAGAAGTTTACAAATCTGAGGACTGCAAAGCAGGTTCATCCTGGGGGCTTATTTTGTTTGGTGAAAGATTTTTTTTTATTATTTACATTGAATTGTAATGTCCTGAGACAGGTTATGCGCACGCTGATTTGTGATCAGCTCCAACTCAGCTGTAGCATCATATTACTTGCCTGGAGATTGAAGGCATTAAAAATTGTAAACACTTCCCCTAAAACAACAGTGTTCTAAATTTTTCCTTGTCCAGGGGTCGACTCCAATTCTGAAATACTGGAAAACACTACTACATGCACGTGCACATGCGCAGCACTAGTGTTCTTCAGTAATATTTTCTTGTACATTTGGGAAAATGTTAATACACCAAATGAATGATGGAGGTTTCTTAATGTCCATATAATCAATGTCTAATGAAAACATCACATTCATTTTTTGTTACCCTGATTACCAAGACCAACTTTTCCGTTGTCTTTTGCTCACAGGGCCAATAATATGAACTTCATATATTTAACCAACACTATTTTAATTTTCTGAGATTCTCTGTTGCAATATGTTTGAGGTTCTAGATATGACATACTATTTACCTGAGATAAGCCATTTTTATTGGAAAAAGAAATGCACTGATTTTGAATAACTATTGGAACGAGATAAATCCCAGAGTCTAGAAAGGCTAATAACACTTTAAGGGATGAATACTCACTGAATTTCTAATTAGAAAATATTTTATAAAAAAGAAAAAGAAGATGTTACAGTGTGTGGATATATAGATTATTTTATAGTACATGCACACATTTCTATCTATAATAGAAAGGTGGCTGTATATGTTACTATAATTGAAATGAGTTCATCACTTTTTTTAAAGTTTTCTGGAAAGGTTTTATAGATCATACTAGTATTATGCTTTTCAGTTCAGTCTAAAGTGGTGTTTTAAAATGAAGTCATCTATTAAGTTAATTGCTCTAAGCCAACCAATATTTTGAGAAAAGTCACATGAAAATTAATGGCTAATTACTTCCCAGTTGCTCTTTAGCTCAGGTATGATATTATTTTATAATTCAAATTAAATTGATATTTTTCTACTTATACATTTGTAATTTGCATATTTTCTTGTAGTTTTTATTAAACATTTTGTATAGATGTTTTTACTATATGATAATAATACAGAGAAACAATGTTACTCTATATAGACAAAAATAAAATAGGCTTAAAATACACACACAAGCACACACACATCCATATATATGCAATCTCTGTCAAATGGCAAACCATGTAACAAATAATTACAAAAATATTTAATTAAATACAGTAATAGGGGCCTGTAATATAATTTATTCTATGCTATTTTATCTAATTTTTCATATGCATACCACTCACATAATTTAATATATATGCATAAATTTGATCCTTTCTGATTGCTTTTTTGCAGTTTTTTAAGTTTGACTTATTTACCTACCATAAATTTCTCCCATCACTGAAATTATCCACGTTCTTCATCATCCCTTACTTCAATACTGCAAATACACTTAATACAAAATAATATGTAGGATTTATTTCATTTTTATGAAATGCTCACATACATATAAAGTGTATTTTGCTTTAAAGAAATACCATTATAAGAAACTTAATACATCTTGTTTTTCTTACATTTTTATTTTCCTCATTTTTTGAATATTCTTCCAAATCAATGGCATAGAATTCAATTTTTAAATGTACGCATGCTCTTAAATTTTACATATGTAGCATAATTCACTCATTCCCTAACTGATGGATATTTAGATGTTTCATTTTCTTTCCATTATGAAGAATAATGAGATACATATTCTTGCATATGTATCCTTAACAAAAAATAGATTTTTAGGTGAATTTTCAGGGGAAGTTTTTTAGAGGCAGGGTATAACTATTTTTTTTAATTGGTGGCCAGGTTGATTTCCATAAGTAATCTATATGAATGGCCTTTCCCTTTTATCCACAAAAAAAGGCCTTAATTATTATTTTGTAGTGTATGCATCCTCACCAATAATAACTTACTGTTACTTTCTTTTGAAATTCCCTAGCTACTTGGGAATTTGAGCATCTTTTCATACTTTTGTTGGCTATTAGCATTTATTCTGCAAATTTTATACTCATTCCACTTACAAATATTTTTATCGGAGTTTTTGTATATTTCTTGTCAATTTTAAGAGCTCGTGATACATTTAGTATACCAATCAAATTTTTTCATATCTAACATTATTAAACTACATTTGCTTATTTTACATTTCACCATAAAACAGATTTATTTTTATTTATATTTTAAAAAATACAATTCAACCATTTTACAAATGTGTGAAGCAAGCTTACTGAGGGGGTGAAACAAAAAGATAATCTAAATAATTTTTGAAATAAGTGGAGTCTGTAAAATGAAAGGCAAACACACAATGTATAAATATAGTGATCTTGTTGATAAAGTTTTTTCACACAAGGGTATGGGTTAATAATTCTGATATTACTATACATGTAATTTGGAATTCTACAATTAAGTAAATTGATGGCAGATGATAGGATCTTAGTTTCTTAATATAATGGTGAGAGTGCACGGATGAGCAAGGAAAGAAAGAATTATTCACATGGCAATTGATTAGAGTCTGAGACATCAGTAGGAACTCATGTTTAGTTTAATACAGATAGAGATGGTTAGATACAGAAATATTGATATATATGAACATATATACGTAAGTTAGGATACACACATAAAACTTGCTATCTCTGTTGAAGGCTTAGAAGCAACAACAACCCAAGTGGAAACAAGTATATGAAGCTCCTTGGATCATTTACAGCTTTTTAGGATTATTACAGAAAGCATACAAGATGAGCCTGAAGTGTCTTGTACCAAAAAGAAAAGAAGTACAGACACACACACACACACACACAAACCAAGCAAACACATATACTCATATGATAAGAGTCTGTCAAAGGGACACCGGTGACAATTCTAATACCTCCAATGGCCAAAGCTAAAACAACTTCAGCAACAAAATTTTTAAAATGAGTAATATTGACATAGTATTGGATTATAACTTAAAATATAAAATAAATATTCATTAATCTGCAATGATAGAAATATATGATTGAATAGATACGTGAATGGGAAAGTAGGGACAAATATCCCATGCAGAAGAATTTAAAATAATTTATGTAGATACTCTATGCTCACATAATTTCCTGCTTCTTTAGTGTGAGCTGTGCAGAGCAAGTGCATTTCAAAGAGTACAGTGTGAAAAAACCCTTGGGGGAGATAACTTAATCCTGACAAACACTACCTTAGCCAACTGATTAAAGTAAATATCTGCAGTAATAGTCACGTTGATGGCATGTGCCTTTGATAATCTGTGATGATGGCACTTCTACCCTATGTTTTTCTTCCCCAAAACACATGGCCCCAGTCTAATAATTAGAAAAATAAACAAATCGAAATAGAGCAACAGCCTACAAAATATATGACTAGTATTCCACAAAATTGCCAAGGTTTTCAAAAACAAGAAAAGTCTGAGAAACTTATACTCAAGAGAAGACTAAGGAGATAGAACAACTAAATGTCTGGAATCCTAGATGAAATCCTGGAAAATAAAGTTGAAATGAGGTAAAGACTAATAAATCTAAAAAGTATGCACTTTAGTAATAACAAAGTATCCATATTGGTTCATTAGTTGTAATAAATGAACCAGACTTTTGTAAGATACTAATAACAGAGAAGCTGGAAGCAAAGTGTATCAGAACTCTCCATATTCTCTTTATGTTTTTCTGCACATCTAAAACTGCAATAACATATAGTTTATTTTTTAATGATTATTAGCAAGTAATTTCAGAGTTTCCAGTTGATTAAAAATGTTATTAATTCATGTATTTCCCTGAGTTATCTTACTTATTTTATCGCTTAATACTTAAGTATTTAATCTATCTGAAATTTACTTCATATAGTATTCAATGTGATTCTACTTTTTCACCATATTTTCAATAGTCTCAGCATTATTATCATTGCAGAGTCAAATCTGAACTATTGTTCTTAAATTGTGCATCACTGAAATTTTACACTATTTCTTCACATTTTTAGATTTAAGCATTTTTTGAAACATATTGATCTTTATGAGTCTATTACATGCATAACATATTCAACAGAAGTTATTATAAGAACAGTTGACAAATTAACACACACTGCTCTAATGCATTCTGATGTTGAGAAGCAATGTCTGTAAAGTATTAAATGGTATTCATTAGAAAATATATTAATCACAGTGTTCAATTAATTCATCCATTTCAGAGTCTATAAGACAGATTAGTTATCCTGCTTAACATTATAAAAATCTCCTAATATTTAATATTAATATTGTGAGTGTTTTATGTTTTAATATAAGAAAAAGACTTAGCAAGCAAATTTTTCAGAAAAATATCTTAAGATTTTATTGACTTCTGAGTGAAAAACTGGATCCATTTTCTCTATATTCTTTTAAAAAATTTTTAATTTCTGTGGGTACATAGTAGGTATATGTATCTATAGGGTACCTGAGATTTTTTTTGCCTATAAATGATTTTCTTTTTTTAACTTTATTTTAGGTTCAGGGGTACATGTGAAGGTTTTATAGGTAAACTCGTGTAACGGGGTTTGTTGTACAGATTATTTATTCAACCAGGTACTAAGCGTATACCTAATAGTTATTTTCCGAAGGTAAATAATAGCTTGTGTTCCAGATTAAAAAAACAAACAACAAACAAAACCAAACTCTTTTAATGGCTAGGATGTGTATTCTTCAAAATACATCTGAAATGACCTACGAATATTTGGCTATTGTCAACAAACACAATAACTTTTTTTGTCTGCCCGTTATTAGACCATAAAGGCACCCCTTGCTTGGCCTCATATCTAGGAGTCTAATTACCCTCGCATAATTAAGCAGTATACGAGGTGTGTCAGCAGAAATAACACTAGAAAGACTGTTTGCACTTGCATGATTTTATCCATGAAACAAGTGGTCAGTTCAACTGTGAGCTCTTGAACATGAGCAACACTCACAAAAATAATATGTTATTTACAAATACCACTTAAAAATTGAGTAAAAACTATTGGTGTCTTGTAATGCAGGATTTAATTGATTCTAGGATGAGAAGGGGTGCTGGCTACGAATGGCTCCAGGGGAAGATACGGATGAAAAAAATAAATTAAGGAGAAATTGCCTCAATTTTGACATTGGCTAGGTTAACATTTACAAACAATATACCTAATATCAAAAGGCATGAAAAGTATGGCGACTGGAATGAAAAGCCACCATTATTCACCCTTGCGTCCCTATACCCATGCCCTGCAGCATCAGAGCTGATAGTTTCTCCCAATAGAGGTGGAGTGTACCTTCCTACACTCAAATTTGGACCCTGCATGCCTTGTTCTGGCTAATGAGATACTAGCATTTGTCATGTAACAAAGGTATCAAATGTACTTGTGTGATGCTATCTAAAGCACCTTTCCTACCAGCCTGCCTGTCCAAAGAGGATGAGAAACTTGTGAAGCAGACCTAGATTTGACTTACGGTTCTGGGACAATCACAGCCATTCTTACCTAGATCAACCAATCAACAGCTGACATGTAGATGTATTAAGAAAAAAAGTGACTGTCATTTAAAGCTAGTGAATTTGGAAGTTGGTTCATTATGTAGAATGGGGCAATAAGTAATACATTAAATAATAGGATGATGCACCCTGTTTTCATTATCACTAAGAAAAGCAACAATGGCCAAAAGTAGACTTAATAAACTGTATTTAGAAAATAGAGTCAGATTCTAAAGGAAAGGAGAAACAGAATGGTCTGTTATGTCATGTGCAGAGCAGCATTGAATTAAAGAAAGGAGATTAAAAAATAATAAAATAAATAAATTTAAGGTATAGAAAGGCTACCAAAGAATTCTGGAGCTAAGGGAATTTTGAAAACACATTGTTTTAACTATTTGATTTCTTACAGAAAAAAAAAGTTCAGATTTATTTATTCTAAATTATTGTTATGTAATGTCTTGCCTAAGCTTCCCATACATTTTATCTAACTTCTATTCAAGTGTTATTTGAATAAATTATGATTTATCTTAAAAGCAGATCCACCATTATTCAATTATATTTTTCTTATATTCCTTTTATTTAGTCATATCTTGTTAAGTTACAATTAGTTGAAGTATGTTGCTATTTTAAAACAATGATGGTTTTAATAAGAAAAAATATATATTAAAGCATTTCACGAGTGCCATGACATTTTGAAAAAATCAGCCCAACAAATCTATCCTTTTTTGTTGAAAACTTAGATTAAAATTTCAGGTAGAGAGGATGATAACTTTTAGATAGTAGATATACCTTTCTCCACTTTGGAAATGAAAACTGAATCAACCATAATATTTTCCAACAAGAAAATCGTCCACCTTTCTGAAGCATATAAAAATAACTTAAAATTCCGGGGAGGAGCCAAGATGGCCGAATAGGAACAGCTCAGGTCTACAGCTCCCAGCGTGAGCGACGCAGAAGACGGTGATTTCTGCATTTCCATCTGAGGTACCGGGTTCATCTCACTAGGGAGTGCCAGACAGTGGGCGCAGGCCAGTGTGTGTGCGCACCGTGCGCGAGCCGAAGCAGGGCGAGGCATTGCCTCACCTGGGAAGCGCAAGGGGTCAGGGAGTTCCCTTTCCGAGTCAAAGAAAGGGGTGACCGACGCACCTGGAAAATCGGGTCACTCCCACCCAAATATTGCGCTTTTCAGACCGGCTTAAGAAACGGCGCACCACGAGACTATATCCCACACCTGGCTCGGAGGGTCCTATGCCCACGGAATCTCGCTGATTGCTAGCACAGCAGTCTGAGATCAAACTGCAAGGCGGCAACGAGGCTGGGGGAGGGGCGCCCGCCATTGCCCAGGCTTGCTTAGGTAAACAAAGCAGCCGGGAAGCTCGAACTGGGTGGAGCCCACCACAGCTCAAGGAGGCCTGCCTGCCTCTGTAGGCTCCACCTCTGGGGGCAGGGCACAGACAAACAAAAAGACAGCAGTAACCTCTGCAGACTTAAGTGTCCCTGTCTGACAGCTTTGAAGAGAGCAGTGGTTCTCCCAGCACGCAGCTGGAGATCTGAGAACGGGCAGACTGCCTCCTCAAGTGGGTCCCTGACTCCTGACCCCCGAGCAGCCTAACTGGGAGGCACCCCCCAGCAGGGGCACACTGACACCTCACACGGCAGGGTATTCCAACAGACCTGCAGCTGAGGGTCCTGTCTGTTAGAAGGAAAACTAACAACCAGAAAGGACATCTACACCGAAAACCCATCTGTACATCACCATCATCAAAGACCAAAAGTAGATAAAACCACAAAGATGGGGAAAAAACAGAACAGAAAAACTGGAAACTCTAAAACGCAGAGCGCCTCTCCTCCTCCAAAGGAACGCAGTTCCTCACCAGCAACAGAACAAAGCTGGATGGAGAATGATTTTGACGAGCTGAGAGAAGAAGGCTTCAGACGATCAAATTACTCTGAGCTACGGGAGGACATTCAAACCAAAGGCAAAGAAGTTGAAAACTTTGAAAAAAATTTAGAAGAATGTATAACTAGAATAACCAATACAGAGAAGTGCTTAAAGGAGCTGATGGAGCTGAAAACCAAGGCTCGAGAACTACGTGAAGAATGCAGAAGCCTCAGGAGCCGATGCGATCAACTGGAAGAAAGGGTATCAGCAATGGAAGATGAAATGAATGAAATGAAGCGAGAAGGGAAGTTTAGAGAAAAAAGAATAAAAAGAAATGAGCAAAGCCTCCAAGAAATATGGGACTATGTGAAAAGACCAAATCTACGTCTGATTGGTGTACCTGAAAGTGATGTGGAGAATGGAACCAAGTTGGAAAACACTCTGCAGGATATTATCCAGGAGAACTTCCCCAATCTAGCAAGGCAGGCCAACGTTCAGATTCAGGAAATACAGAGAACACCACAAAGATACTCCTCGAGAAGAGCAACTCCAAGACACATAATTGTCAGATTCACCAAAGTTGAAATGAAGGAAAAAATGTTAAGGGCAGCCAGAGAGAAAGGTCGGGTTACCCTCAAAGGAAAGCCCATCAGACTAACAGCAGATCTCTCGGCAGAAACCCTACAAGCCAGAAGAGAGTGGGGGCCAATATTCAACATTCTTAAAGAAAAGAATTTTCAACCCAGAATTTCATATCCAGCCAAACTAAGCTTCATAAGTGAAGGAGAAATAAAATACTTTATAGACAAGCAAATGTTGAGAGATTTTGTCACCACCAGGCCTGCCCTAAAAGAGCTCCTGAAGGAAGCGCTAAACATGGAAAGGAACAACCGGTACCAGCCGCTGCAAAATCATGCCAAAATGTAAAGACCATCGAGACTAGGAAGAAACTGCATCAACTAATGAGCAAAATCACCAGCTAACATCATAATGACAGGATCAAATTCACACATAACAATATTAACTTTAAATATAAATGGACTAAATTCTGCAATTAAAAGACACAGACTGGCAAGTTGGATAAAGAGTCAAGACCCATCAGTGTGCTGTATTCAGGAAACCCATCTCACGTGCAGAGACACACATAGGCTCAAAATAAAAGGATGGAGGAAGATCTACCAAGCCAATGGAAAACAAAAAAAGGCAGGGGTTGCAATCCTAGTCTCTGATAAAACAGACTTTAAACCAACAAAGATCAAAAGAGACAAAGAAGGCCATTACATAATGGTAAAGGGATCAATTCAACAAGAGGAGCTAACTATCCTAAATATTTATGCACCCAATACAGGAGCACCCAGATTCATAAAGCAAGTCCTCAGTGACCTACAAAGAGACTTAGACTCCCACACATTAATAATGGGAGACTTTAACACCCCACTGTCAACATTAGACAGATCAACGAGACAGAAAGTCAACAAGGATACCCAGGAATTGAACTCAGCTCTGCACCAAGCAGACCTAATAGACATCTACAGAACTCTCCACCCCAAATCAACAGAATATCCTTTTTTTTCAGCACCACACCACACCTATTCCAAAATTGACCACATAGTTGGAAGTAAAGCTCTCCTCAGCAAATGTAAAAGAACAGAAATTATAACAAACTATCTCTCAGACCACAGTGCAATCAAACTAGAACTCAGGATTAAGAATCTCACTCAAAGCCGCTCAACTACATGGAAACTGAACAACCTGCTCCTGAATGACTACTGGGTACATAACGAAATGAAGGCAGAAATAAAGATGTTCTTTGAAACCAACGAGAACAAAGACACCACATACCAGAATCTCTGGGACGCATTCAAAGCAGTGTGTAGAGGGAAATTTATAGCACTAAATGCCTACAAGAGAAAGCAGGAAAGATCCAAAATTGACACCCTAACATCACAATTAAAAGAACTAGAAAAGCAAGAGCAAACACATTCAAAAGCTAGCAGAAGGCAAGAAATAACTAAAATCAGAGCAGAACTGAAGGAAATAGAGACACAAAAAACCCTTCAAAAAATCAATGAATCCAGGAGCTGGTTTTTTGAAAGGATCAACAAAATTGATAGACCGCTAGCAAGACTAATAAAGAAAAAAAGAGAGAAGAATCAAATAGACACAATAAAAAATGATAAAGGGGATATCACCACCGATCCCACAGAAATACAAACTACCATCAGAGAATACTACAAACACCTCTACGCAAATAAACTAGAAAATCTAGAAGAAATGGATACATTCCTCGACACATACACTCTCCCAAGACTAAACCAGGAAGAAGTTGAATCTCTGAATAGACCAATAACAGGCTCTGAAATTGTGGCAATAATCAATAGTTTACCAACCAAAAAGAGTCCAGGACCAGATGGATTCACAGCCGAATTCTACCAGAGGTACATGGAGGAACTGGTACCATTCCTTCTGAAACTATTCCAATCAATAGAAAAAGAGGGAATCCTCCCTAACTCATTTTATGAGGCCAGCATCATTCTGATACCAAAGCCGGGCAGAGACACAACCAAAAAAGAGAATTTTAGACCAATATCCTTGATGAACATTGATGCAAAAATCCTCAATAAAATACTGGCAAACCGAATCCAGCAGCACATCAAAAAGCTTATCCACCATGATCAAGTGGGCTTCATCCCTGGGATGCAAGGCTGGTTCAATATACGCAAATCAATAAATGTAATCCAGCATATAAACAGAGCCAAAGACAAAAACCACATGATTATCTCAATAGATGCAGAAAAAGCCTTTGACAAAATTCAACAACCCTTCATGCTAAAAACTCTCAATAAATTAGGTATTGATGGGACGTATTTCAAAATAATAAGAGCTATCTATGACAAACCCACAGCCAATATCATACTGAATGGGCAAAAACTGGAAGCATTCCCTTTGAAAACCGGCACAAGACAGGGATGCCCTCTCTCACCGCTCCTATTCAACATAGTGTTGGAAGTTCTGGCCAGGGCAATCAGGCAGGAGAAGGAAATAAAGGGTATTCAATTAGGAAAAGAGGAAGTCAAATTGTCCCTGTTTGCAGACGACATGATTGTTTATCTAGAAAACCCCATCGTCTCAGCCCAAAATCTCCTTAAGCTGATAAGCAACTTCAGCAAAGTCTCAGGATACAAAATCAATGTACAAAAATCACAAGCATTCTTATACACCAACAACAGACAAACAGAGAGCCAAATCATGGGTGAACTCCCATTCACAATTGCTTCAAAGAGAATAAAATACCTAGGAATCCAACTTACAAGGGATGTGAAGGACCTCTTCAAGGAGAACTACAAACCACTGCTCAAGGAAATAAAAGAGGAGACAAACAAATGGAAGAACATTCCATGCTCATGGGTAGGAAGAATCAATATCGTGAAAATGGCCATACTGCCCAAGGTAATTTACAGATTCAATGCCATCCCCATCAAGCTACCAATGACTTTCTTCACAGAATTGGAAAAAACTACTTTAAAGTTCATATGGAACCAAAAAAGAGCCCGCATTGCCAAGTCAATCCTAAGCCAAAAGAACAAAGCTGGAGGCATCACACTACCTGACTTCAAACTATACTACAAGGCTACAGTAACCAAAACAGCATGGTACTGGTACCAAAACAGAGATATAGATCAATGGAACAGAACAGAGCCCTCAGAAATAATGCCGCATATCTACAACTATCTGATCTTTGACAAACCTGAGAAAAACAAGCAATGGGGAAAGGATTCCCTATTTAATAAATGGTGCTGGGAAAACTGGCTGGCCATATGTAGAAAGCTGAAACTGGATCCCTTCCTTACACCTTATACAAAAATCAATTCAAGATGGATTAAAGATTTAAACGTTAAACCTAAAACCATAAAAACCCTAGAAGAAAACCTAGGCATTACCATTCAGGACATAGGCGTGGGCAAGGACTTCATGTCCAAAACACCAAAAGCAATGGCAACAAAAGACAAAATTGACAAATGGGATCTAATTAAACTAAAGAGCTTCTGCACAGCAAAAGAAACTACCATCAGAGTGAACAGGCAACCTACAGAATGGGAGAAAATTTTCGCAACCTACTCATCTGACAAAGGGCTAATATCCAGAATCTACAATGAACTCAAACAAATTTACAAGAAAAAAACAAACAACCCCATCAAAAAGTGGGCGAAGGACATGAACAGACACTTCTCAAAAGAAGACATTTATGCAGTCAAAAAACACATGAAGAAATGCTCATCATCACTGGCCATCAGAGAAATGCAAATCAAAACCGCTATGAGATATCATCTCACACCAGTTAGAATGGCAATCATTAAAAAGTCAGGAAACAACAGGTGCTGGAGAGGATGCGGAGAAATAGGAACACTTTTACACTGTTGGTGGGACTGTAAACTAGTTCAACCATTGTGGAAGTCAGTGTGGCGATTCCTCAGGGATCTAGAACTAGAAATACCATTTGACCCAGCCATCCCATTACTGGGTATATACCCAAATGAGTATAAATCATGCTGCTATAAAGACACATGCACACGTATGTTTATTGCGGCACTATTCACAATAGCAAAGACTTGGAACCAACCCAAATGTCCAACAATGATAGACTGGATTAAGAAAATGTGGCACATATACACCATGGAATACTATGCAGCCATAAAAAATGATGAGTTCATATCCTTTGTAGGGACATGGATGAAATTGGAAACCATCATTCTCAGTAAACTATCGCAAGAACAAAAAACCAAACACCGCGTATTCTCACTCATAGGTGGGAATTGAACAATGAGATCACATGGACACAGGAAGGGGAATATCACACTCTGGGGACTGTGGTGGGGTCGGGGGAGGGGGGAGGGATAGCATTGGGAGATATACCTAATGCTAGATGACACATTAGTGGGTGCAGTGCACCAGCATGGCACATGTATACATATGTAACTAACCTGCACAATGTGCACATGTACCCTAAAACTTAGAGTATAATAAAAAAAAAAAAAAAAAAGAAAAAAAAAAAAAAAGAATAGGGCGTCCGAAGGCTTCATTTGTTCACAAGAAGCCAACTGAAAATTAACATATAAAAATGTATAAACTAGTATAAGAAATTGTCAAAACAAAGTGAAAGCATAGTGGAAATAAATGCATTTAAGAAGAAACAAAGATAAAAGAAGAAGGAAGGAAGGAAAAGAGGGAGGGAAAGAGGAAGGTGGGGAGGAAGGGAAGTAAGATAGCACTCTAGAGATGGTGAAACCAAAATAGTATGGTTTCCTAATACATACTGTAAACTTATAAAAAATGTTGGGGCCCTTCAATTATCCTAATAATGTACAGAAAGCTATTTCACTAAAGTAGTGGAAGAATTCTTGCTGTGTATTTTTATGATTAAATCTCTGGAAAAATGTAAAAAAAAAAAAAAAAAAAAAAATAACTTAAAATTCCTTCAATATTAAATGATGTAGTTATATTCAATAAGTCGTGTTTATATTACATTTATAATATTTAAATGAGATTTGAAAACAAACAAAATAACCCACCCTAGAACAAATGCATCTCTTAGCTAGACTGACAAATAAACAAAAAAATGCTACTGATTTCAGAACATTTGAATGATAAAGCCTACTCTTGTTCCAACTTAATTTATCTTAAACATGAAAATGTAACATGACCTCATTATTGACATGGATCATAAGGTAAATAAAAAGTACATTCATGAAATTGATGATACAGGTTAAAAATGCTTTAAATAGTTTTTCTTTTCTAACTTTTCTATTCTAGAAGGTGTTGATACCAAAGAATTCTTACACTGCATAGAGATAAAAAAGGCTGCAATGAGTAAGTCCATCTGTCTCTCTGCCTCTGTCTCTGTCTGTTTCTCTATCTGTCCTTCTCCCTTTCTCTATCTCTCCTTCTCACCCTCTTACCTCCCCATGCTCATATGTGTCTTAGTCCTATAAGTACTTCTACGGAATATCTTATTTGTTATTTTCCATTATATACTTAAATATGGGCGATTATTTTTGTCTGACTCCCTTTTCCTTCTCTGACCAGTACTAATCAATGGAATAGTCATAAGTCAAATACATAATTAAGCAGAAAAAGTGTCCACACATGTATGATCAATTAAGTGGAAATAAAGAAGGAATAAGTTATTTTTTCCTACATTAGCTTAGCCTTCGTTTAAACCATTATAACTGCTTCCTTCTTACAGCTGGCTATTTGCACTTCTCAATCATCTAAAAACTCCATCATTTAAAATATAGAAAATTTTTTCAGTTTTATCCATTCCTCTTTATCTTTCCACTTTTTTTCTTTCTGAAGTGATTTGGTCCAAAAAACGCCTACGTGTGGCTGAGACATGTAGGTATTGGCTTAAAGGGAAGAATGAACTCCAGTAGCCCCTACTGGGCATTTAGATTCTGAGCTAAATGAGGAGGACTTCTGTTTGTGAGGTTGATCCCGTGGATGAGGTGTTCAAGGCCTTATTAGTGAGAGAAGGGTGTCGCTGTGGTGGGGTACAGAGGTGAATTTGGGTGTTGGAACATGTATGGGGTCATCAGAATGTTTGTAAAATGAGTATTGCGAGTGTCAGCTACAAAGAGAGGTTGGTTACAAACAGAAGGATTGGTCAAATACATTAACACCCTGAGGATAATGGTAGCAAGCCTTCTTATATCAGTTAGGTGAATCACAAATCTGAAAAAGGAGAAAATTAGAATTAATAGAATGAACTATCTTGTTAAATAAGAATTGGACCTACCACTGGTAATCAACACTTTCAGTATGTTTAGATATTTAGATATAGTTGCAGGTACAAATTGAGGAGCCTGAGTCACTCTGTTTTGCCAGAAAGGTTAATGAGATGCATCCAATAGGAAAAAAACAAAACAAAACAAAACAAAAAAAAACAAGCAAAAAGTAAAAATAGAAGCAGCAAGCCGATAGTGACTCCCACTGACCAAATGTGGGAAAATTTAAGCATCAAAATAAACAATTTTGATTATAAAAGTAAGAGATTATAACTTATTGAATAAAACAGGAATCCACAGTCTACAGATATAAACATACATTAATGGATAAATTAGGGGTTTCATG
Source organism: Homo sapiens (assembly GCF_000001405.40). Classification (NCBI taxonomy): domain Eukaryota; kingdom Metazoa; phylum Chordata; class Mammalia; order Primates; family Hominidae; genus Homo; species Homo sapiens. The sequence continues at coordinate 117,402 of NW_009646199.1, forward strand.
AGATTGTAGATATTTAGATATTTACAGAATCAAAAAATAACCCCCCCCAAAATACTTACAAACTTCAAAATAAAAAGGGGAATCTTGGCAGACATTGCCTTTATCTAGTGATTACAAGTATTGTTACTATTAATAGGTGATTATTTGAATTTGGCCAGGGTTGTGAGAGGAATTGGTAATACATTTTGTCAAATGCTTTTTCTGCATGCATTACTTTTTCTGTTGAGGTGTTTAATTACAGTGATTGATTTTTTATTATTTCTCCTGTCTATCTTTAATTCGGAGTATGACAACTTGTCTGAATTTGCCAACATTCTGTCACCGTGTGTTTCACAACTATGATGGCTGTGTCAATGATTTTCCTTCCTCTCTTTTCAATTTTCTTCACCCTTTCAATCATCAGTCACTTAGTGAGTGTCATTCCCTCTAGAAAATCACCTGGTCTATTATTGTGAATTTTTGTGTGCAATGTTTTGAACAGATGTATTTTTTTTGTCTTAGGTTATTTGCCAAGCTATATTGAAAATGTAAAGGTTTGGGGATGGTATGCCAACTACGTAAATGCTAATGAATGCACAGAACCTGTTCAAAATAACCACATTAAATGTTTAGAGAAGAGAAAATGTTGTTTAAAGCATGTTTAAATGTTAACATAATAGTTTGTTACTTATACATAGGCATTTTCCCCAAGTGTGTTTTCATTTTACATTGATTATCATTGGAAGTTTTGCATTAATTAGACATGTATTGTACATGTATCTGCCTAAAATAAATACAACTGGCCGGGCGCGGTGGCTCACACCTGTAATCCCAGCACTTTGGGAGGCCAAGGCCGGCAGATCACCTGAGGTTGGGAGTTTGAGACCAGCCTGACCAACATGGAGAAGCCCCGTCTCTACTTAAAAAATACAAAAAAGTTAGCCAGGCGTGGTTGTGGGCGCCTGTAATCCCAGGTACTCAGGAGGCTGAGGCAGGAGAATCACTTGAACCTGGGAGGTGGAGGTTGCAGTGAGCGGAGATTGTGCCATTGCGCTCCAGTGTGGGCAATAAGGGTGAAACTCCATCTCAAAAAAAAATAATAATAATAAATAAATAAGTAGAATTGAGTTCCTGGTTATTGTCTTCACACAAAACATCTGATTTGATAGGACCTTATTACTGATCTTAAACAGAAGTTACTTGCATTTGTAATGTGAGAATGTGCAAAATTTGAATAATAGATCAGTCTTTGGATCTCACTTTAAAATATATGATTTGTGATTTTAGGCCAAAATCACATTAAATTTATAAATATACTTGTATCACTTAAATAAGCTACAAATAATAATCATATTTATAACTATAATTTATTATATTTATAAGAATTAATTATGTAGATTTGTATGCTAAACCATTACTTAAGCACTTAATCAAGAGATCATATACATTAAAAATATGTGTGATTTAAAATATTTAAAGGGATTTAAGTAATTAACCCTGTTAAGGACAATAAGCATTAGAATATTAAATGTGATTTACAGTTCTTAGACATAAATAAAACAGAACATGTGAAAGCTAAATGTAAAAATTTTTAAAAATTCAGAGTTTGAAATTATAATTTTAATGAAGTAAATACTACTGCCAAAAATCAAATTAAAAATGAATAATATATTTTTAAGAAGAAAAGTTTCACACAATGTCATTTTAAAAACTGCCCTTGAAGAATTATAACATTGGATTATCCCTTATTCTCTATGCCAGCTGTATGAAGAATGCATTAGAAGATGGTTTTGCAGTCATCTCTGCAAGAGTTGATGGTGGCTTGGACAAGAGTTCAAGGTGATTGGGTGTAAGGATAAAGAAAAGGGAATGCATTAGTTAAATATGGAGATGTGGTGGTTAATGCCAGTAAATGTCATGAGTGAGAGAGAGAGACAAAATTACACTGCCCCCTTTTCTGGTTTTGCAACTTGGTAGTGATACTGTCCATGAAACCAAAGATTCTCATCGTCACATGGAGATGTGTAGAATGAGATTAAAACTGTGACTACAGGAGATCACTGCAGAACGTAAAATTTTATTTGATACAGGAGGCACTTTAGAAGACTGAAGTGCACTGAGCTGCATGAGCAAAACCACGTAGTGATGCATGAGAATTAAAAAGAATGTATCTGAAAAGGGAAAAAATGATCAGAACTTTTGAATACTGATGAGGTTAAGTAATATATGCACAAGAAGGGACTGTTATATTTTTACCCAAAATTCAATCACTGTATAAAAAATTTATTTATAATAAATCCCATAAAATAAGATAATAAAGCTATAAGTCTGAGAATATAATTTATGCAAAAGCTATTTTTAGGACCATAAGCTAATTTTTATAAGCTATTTCATTGTTTTAAATCTCAGCTTGAATTTTATATATCTCTTTATATCTTTTTTCCACACATCTTAAACCCCACCATTTACTATTTGCATGATCTAGAAAAAGCTACCTAACCTTTGCAAGTTCTAGTTTATTAAAAAACATTAACTACTTTTGTTTCCTTCAAAATTCAGATTTTGTACTATTTAATATCCAAATAATTTACCTATCTGAAAAAAATATATACAATCCCATGTTTGTTTATGAACCTCAGGTATATATCAATCTTTTGTGAACATCTGTGATCTTTTTGTTTTGTAATTTTCATATTTCCAATTTGATCAAACTTGCATTTTATTATAAATGTCCTACAGTCATGTCTGCAGAGTTGAAGGATCTTGGCTGGCATTTGAGACTTTCTACTCTTTTCCACTTTCTAATAGTCAATAAACTTTGCTCAGACCTGCCTTCTTGGTATTTTACACCCATATAAAGATGGTACAGAGTGCCCTCCTAGTAACACTGCATCTGTGCATTGGGGAGAAGAGAAGGGTTATACCTCTCCCACTGAAACAGGCCTAAGGAGGTCTTGGACATTTTTCAAGTGGACCATTTCCCAGACACAGAAATGCTGAGAAAGAGCAATAACTTCACAGTGTATTATTTCACTGTTGACAAATGGAAGAAACAGGCATGTAAGATAAAAAATTGAGACTTAAAAACTTGCAGTTAAAAAACAGTTTCTCAACACTTACAGTAGAATAGAATAATAACCTTTTAAAAGCCGTCTTCAATAAGCTGATTGCAACACTGCACAAGCTCAGCCTGCTAAGACACAGGGTCACTGCTTTTGTCTTACCATCCATCTCATCTTTATCACTTTATTGACTTTCTTCTTTCAAATGTCTTAAATATTGAATTCCAATTTCCTCCTTAAAGACATATTTCTCATAAAGATGTGCAAACGGTTATGCAATGGTTGTTTGGGAAGAATTCTTTATAGTCCATTATTGAATTCACAGTGTAGGTACAAGTAAGTGCTTTGGATCAGACAAGAAGGCCTATTGAGTAAGTTGCTGCCACAGGGCCTATGTGGGAAGTTTCTAAATAAAAGTTACATTGCGGAGTAGCAATGTTTTGATACGTCATTTTTCAAAGCTTCCACTATTTTCTTATAATTAGTTTGTATGCTATTGTGCATATATGAACTGAATTTTACAAAAAGCCTCATGCTAAAAATCACACAGAAAAAGAGAGGATGAGTAGCTTGAGAAAGAAGAGATGAAGGTAGGCACATTTTCTTTCAATTAGAAAAAAGTCTGCCTTGAGTTCTGTTGAAAAATTCACATTACGTACTGCATGACATTTATGCTGAAAGCAGGTGTGAGTAATGTAAGAACAAGGGTTGCGTCTTGACAGAAGATTTTGCATTTATTACCTCTTTCTGAAGAAAGGTAATGAAGCAGGAAATAGTCACAAATAATAAGAAGCAGTTTAAGCTGTTGAATACACAACAATCTCCACTATCCTTCAAATTTTAGACCTCTATAGGAGAAATAGGCAGTCTTTCCAATCTCATATAGATAGATATATGTAAAATTATCACCATTTTTTGAAGACTGTCTTTTATATGACCTTCAAATGTCAGACATTACTCTATAACTTCACATAATGCATATAATTTGAGCTTTGGATGACTACTTGATGCTAATTCAGACTCAGCTTTCATAAATGATTCATTCATCATTAGATTTATTAATCTCTATCCCTATAAATGGTTTTTATGTGGGCCAGTTAGTTAATTAGAGCTTTATATTGTTGACATGCCTTAGAAGTTTGTGATGCTTATAGGTAATTTAGTGTCAGAGGAAATAAAAAAAAAACCTTTTTCATTCAGAGAAAAAATACATGATGAGCTATATCAATAAAGGGTATATTTGGTGAAATAACAAAAATGGTTTTTATAACCACAAACCTAGGTATGAATGATATGAATGAAGTAAAATTTGTTTTAAAATTTATTTAAATCTAGATTCATTTAATTCCAATGCCACATTTGACTAAGCTGATGACAAATTCAATCCTGTTCATGATGGAGGCTTTCTGCTTAAAGATGATAAAAATACTAAGATTTGGCTGGGCATGGTAGCTCACGCCTGTAATCCCAGCACTTTGGGAAGTCGAGGAGGGAGGATCACGAGGTCAGGAGATCGAGACCATCACGGTGAAACCCCGTCTCTACCAAAAATAGAAAAATTAGCCTGGTGTGCTGCTGCATGCCTGTAATCTCAGCTACGTGGGAGGCTGAGGCAGAAGAATCACTTGAATCTGGGAGGCGGAGGTTGCAGTGAGCCGAGACCGCACCACTGCACTCCAGCCTGGTGACAGGGCAAGACTCTGTCTCAAAAAAAAAAAAAAAAAAGAAAAGAAAAAAAAGAAAAACTAAGATTTTACACACATCACTAAAGTATAGTGATGATTCTTTGATCCCCTCCCACAAATTCGTACTGAGAAATATATTGTCCCAGTTTAAAAGTTTCCATCAGATTCTTGGAATATTCTGCTTTGGCATGATTAATGGGGCAAAAGAAACTTTGATGATACTAGGAAATGTCAGGTCCAGATGCTAGGACCAGTCATCTGGGTGCTGCCTGGTAAAAGACAAGGAGATCTCTCTCCCCTTCCAAGTCAAAAAAGACACATTCTCAGCTTATACTGTTTTTAAAGGTCATTAACTTCCCTGCCCGACCCCATCTGTTTACCCCTAACCAAACCTAATGTATACCATTCATTATGCTTGGGGTTTAAAAGGCAGCAACTATTAATTAAATCAAGATCATTTGCTTTTGATATGGCAATATCCCTCTAGTGAGAGATTATGAAAAGTCTGGCAATTTGTTTGAAATAGAAAAAGGGGGAAATAAGGAGAAATGAAAAACAAAATAAATCATTTAACAAACTACACTGAAATAAAAAAAATGGAGGGATGGGCTAGGTGAAATATTATTAACTAAATAACATCCCATATTGCATGGTCCAATAACAATGGCTAATTATATGAGCTTCTTATAAAAACAAGTAGTATAAGACTATAATTAAGGAAAAGCATAATTATATTATTTTCCTACATGAGATATTTTAAAATTCATTAATGTTTCAGAAAGTAAGGCATATAATTACTTCTTATTCATCTTTTTTCTTAAATACAGTATCAACTTTCTTGGAGAGTCAGTGGCAATAACCAAAAGAATTAAGTAAGCTGGGAACTACACAATCACAAAACATCTTCAGGGAGGTTGGTACCTACAATATTGACTATTGAGCAAAGCCAATATTTAGAGGAAGAGCAAACAAACAAACATGATACAGACATTTCTCAGTGAAACTATTTCTACTCATTCTTCAGTAACCTAGATTGAGGACAAAATTTTAGTAACTGAAGTCAATTACCATAAGAAAAATTTAAAAGTTATTACTGTAGACCTTATATTCTTGTGGAGGAAGATAGGCATTAAATATAGAACAGGTAAGGTACTTTCTGGGTGTTCCATTATGAGGAAAAGAAAAGGAAAAGTCTCACTCAGGATTCTTGTGATTTCAGGTTATTGGAAGACAGATATTATTTATCCAGAATGGCTAGGAAAACATTTTCTGGAAAGAAACTTTTGAGATGTTACCAACATGATGAAAAAAGATACACTTTTGTAAGGACCACAGCAAACGGCATTCTGTGTCGAATAGATGAAAGAGTTTGAAGGAGAGACAGAGAAGACAAGGGTATTAATTTTGTATGGCTTCAATAACAAATTACCACAAGCTTAGTGTTTTAAAAAATAAAGTTCCTAAAGCAGGAGTCATGGTGGAAAATATTTTTTTTCTCTATGTCGTCAATATCAAACAGATTTTAAATGGCAAAATAAGAGGCTGAAGAATGATTAAATATGATTAGGAATGAATAATCAAACATCAAGGCTGCAGACAAGGAAACATAAAGAAAGATCACAGTCCTGGTATGAATGCAAGATTATTCGTTACTAATCATAAACACACACCACTTAAATCATAGATGGAGAACCCTGGTAAGATCCTAGTGAGACAGAGTGTAGAAATAAAGTCTTGGCAGAAATAATACTAAGTAACTATCTCCTAAGGCCTTTCATAATGCATTCTTATTCACATATAAGTAAAATATACTTTTCCGGTTTTATAAAATGTTACATTATGGCTTTTGCAATGACAGAGTATAAATTTTCTTGCCTGCTTATACAGACAAATATTTAGTCAATATACTTTTATCTTTCCAGTAGCTCCAGTTGTATTTAATTTATTCATAAGTTAGTTCTTTAAGGCAGAGGGACATGGTATTTCACAAACAATTATATGTTGAGTATCTTTTCCTAAATCTCAAAAAACCCTGATATAATTGATTAAAAATATGTATAATAGATGTCAGTGCTAACACATACTCTATTATAACAGCTAGTTTTGAAACGCGTATGTTAACACATTTAGGCTTCTTACTGATACAAACTTTGGTTTGTTTATGGTATCATTGACTCTAAGTGTTATGTTAGACCATCTTATTCAATGTATCATGTAATATAGAATCCTTGGCAACTACTAGAAATATCCTCTTCCTTACAATTAACTCAGTGTGCATAGTTCTGCTGATTTCACCTAATTATATTCCTTATTTCCTACCTCCTTTCCATAATGTTCAAAAAGTGATAGCTTAGGAGATTCTCTGGATCAAATACTCCTTTATATCTTATACTGCAAGGAGGCTCTAAAATGGCTCCAGTGATCTCTGCATCCTGGGATCCATGCCCTTGTGTGACATCCTCCATTTGAGCATGGGTGAGACCTTATGCTCTATAATTTGCTTCTAACCAAAATAATATGGCAAATGCGATGAGATAACTCTTCTGTGCTTATTCTATGTTAGGATGAAAACAGCATCTTGTTAGCAGGCTGTCTTTATTGCCTCCTCAGCTTATATATTCTGATGAAGCAAACAGGCGTGTAACGGAGGTCCACATGTCAAGGAGTGAAGGGCAGCCCCCTCCCAACAGGCACCGAGGGACTGAGGATGACCTCCAGCTTGCTGCCACACACAAGCTGAAGCTTTCAATCCAACACCCCACAAGGAATTGAATTCTGCCAGCAACCACATGAGTTTGAAAGCAGATTATTTTCCAGTTGATCCTCACATGGGAATGTAACCCTGGCAGAAGCCTTGATTGCAGTCTCGCGAGAGACCTTGAAATAATGAACAAGTAAATTGCTTGGATTCCGAACTCACAGAAGTTGTGATAACAATTGTCTACTGTTTTGAGTTGCTGAATTTTCCAAAATGTATTATGCAGCAGTGGATAACCTATACATATTTCTGAACATAGTTTCTTCTCTCTGTTCTGACAAATTGTATATCAGTACTTGATTTCATGCCTATCATTTTCACATGAACCTCCCTAATTCTTTTACTCAGGCTCAACTCAAGCCTTTGCAGTATTTCATATGTGTGGTCCTTAAGACAGAAATCATCGTAAACTCTTCTTCCTTCTAAATATATAATTCTTGTAACAAAGAAAGCACTCTTAAATGTTTAACGAGTAATGGGGCTCTCGGATGCTTAAAAGTGTAGAACAGACACTTCTGACATTATGAGCCAGAAACATCCTTATTGTTGGGGGCTGTCCTATGTGCTACAGGATTTAGCAGAATCCCTAGTCTCCACTCACTAGATCTCAGTAGCACACCCACATTGGTGAAAAGGAATCATGTATCTGGATATTGTTAAATGCTCACTTTGGTAACAAAAGAGCACCTAATGTAGAGCCACTGGTATAAAGGGATCCTGAGTGAGGAATGCCACTTTATGAGAAACTAAAAAGAAAGAGGTAGCTAGAGCTGCACTTTATTCTAAGTGAAGTGTGAAACAGAAAAAAAAGAAAAGCAAACAACAGATAGGGAACAATAGGATAGAAAAATAGGAAAGAATAATTCCAAAGGAACAAATTGAAGGCCTTTGAAGTTAGAAGCAAGGAACTCACAATTGCTAGCAGAAAGGCCAGGAACTCAAATAAGTGGGCTTAAATCTTTCTGATTGTTCCTGTATATCATATTAAGGAGAAAATTCAGATATCTTAAAAATATTTATTTTGAATATTTTAATTTATAATTTATAATTCACTTAAAATAACAAATTCATAACATGTAAATAAATATGATTATGAAACTTTTTTCAAATAATCTATAAATGTAAAAGAGGCATTATTTTACAGTTTTTTTCAACTCTCCTTAAACTTTAACTGATGTATCCAGTTGTCTTATTTTGTATGGGAAAAGTGGTAGCTCATGGTATATGGATTTATAATCCTATACGGGCAGTGGTTAATAATATTGTATCTTGTTCATCAAAGGCTTTTAAAAAAGGAAGGCTAGAAGATTGATAACAAGGAGTTTTGGGTTCTAGATATGTGAAGTAATTCACACAATATGGATGGTCTGTGGAGACATTTATATCCCATGTGAATGCTCAACATAGAGAATGTAGAGGAGGATTTCACAAATCTAATGGAGAACTAGACCTATTCTGTGGCTTTTCATCAGTGTTTTCAACAGACATTGTGGTACTCCTTCGATGGGTTCATTTTTTTGTGTAGCCATTGTATTAGTCAGTTATCATGCTGCTAATGAAGACATACTCAAGACTGGGTAATTTATAAAGAAAAAGAGGTTTAATGGACTCACAGTTCTACATGGCTGGGAAGGCCTCACCATCATGGTGGAAGGCAAAGGAGGAGAAAAGCATGTCTTACATGGCAGCAGGCAGGAGGACGTGTGCAGGGGAACTCCCATTTATAAAACTGTAAGATCTCATGGGATTTATTCACTATCCCAAGAATAGCACAGGAAAAACCTGCCCCCATGATTCAACTACTTCCCACCAAGTCCCTCCCATGACACAAGGGAAACTGTGGGAGCTACAATTCAAGATGAGGTTGGAGTGGAGACACAGCCACACAACATCAGCCATAATGAGGTCAAAATGTGATTCTTGTTTCACACAGCCTGATCTGGCTAATTCCACTGCTTAGAATCCAATCTATTGCCAATGGTAAACCCCAATATAAAACCATTATTTGATGAATAATTGATTACATTGAACTTTTCTAACATGGAGGAAGCTTTATTTATCTTTCTACTGATGTATTTACCTTTTCTCACTACCTTTCTTCTGACAGCATTATATGTCTGCTAAAATACATAATTACAAATATTTAGTTTAAAGATCTTAACTGGCTTTCCTTTGAAACTCTAAAATCAGTCAACACCTCATTCTATAAAGTAGTGAGTGTTCTGATGAACTGAGCAGAGACTGGCTTTATAGATAGAAAATATTTGACAAAAGCGGAAACAAAGAATAAAAAGTGAATTGGTTGTTTCAGTTACTTTTTTTTTGTAAAGCTTAAATAAAGCAGGAGGGACTTCCTTTTCATGCTCGCTAAACTGTCCTGTTTAGGGATTTGGCTATTTCTTCTCTTGATTCCTTGGAAGGTCAGATAAACAGCCTCATTTTGGCTTGTTGGTGTGGAACTCCATTATGAGGAACTCCATTTTGCTTTCGTCTGCAGGGTCTAGTGCAGGAGCTCAGTCCAAACCAAGAGCCTCCTGTAAATTTAATTTAACAATTCTTGTATTTTCCAAAATGCCTTATTCACCATCACAGCATGCCATCAATAAAGCTTTCATGACTGAAGTAGTTTGTCAGTGGCTGACTCACCTGGTATTAAGTTACTCCATACCATCTTATGCTGAGGAGCTGACATCCCACAGCAATGGAAATGTTGCTACGCAAACCTCTGCTCTAAGACTTGACCAAACTTTAACTTGGCTTCTAGCAGCCTAAGGCTGTGTCCCTGGGGAGACTCCTTTTGAGTTTCTGTCTAGTAAAGCTTAGGGCTGTGTAAACAACTATTTATTCTAGCTAGCACTTGATATAGGCCCTTTTTTTAGAAAATAGACCATTTACTAAAAGGGGCTTACAATTGTGAATCCTTCCTGTGTCCATTTGAGATTTATGTGTACTTCCTACAGCTCAGGAGTGCTGTCTCAAGGACCTGAAAACCATTCCTTTGAAGTGTAATTGTCAGAAAGGACAGTGTCTTCCACTCTTTATGCCCGGAAAAAGTCCTAACTTTGATCATTGCCAGGTAGCAGACACTGCTGGCCTCACTGCGTTTATGCTAACCAACCCTTAGTAATTCTTCACTTCTCTCACTCTTCTTGAGTCCCAGATCACTCCCCGCTTTATCCTCCTTTATTTCTCTTTAAATCACCTCTGTGAAAATCGGAATGAAGCTTACCTCTTTTCCTTACTTTCACAAGTTACAGTTTTACCAGATATCCAGTTTGGGTTATCTTTGACATCCTCACCACCACCCACACCACCATGCTCACATCCTTTCCCTGAACTGGCCTCAACTGAGTGTTTGATCTGGCTCTGGCTCCCACAGTACAGTACGTATGGACCCAATGTGGACCATTGACTGCAGTATCCAACTGCTTCCTGAGGCATATCTCACTTTGGGAACTAAGAACAACATGTTTTTGCACAAAGGCAGAAAGCCCTGCCTGGCTTTTGCTACTGCCCAGATATTTCCTGCCTCCTGCCACCCAGAGTTTGATAAATATCTTAAGATAATCTTAAAAAAACAGGAAAACCTCTTTTTCTGCCCATCACGGACATTTCCCAGTCATGAAAAAATTAATAGCAAGCAAATAAAAGGCTGCTAAACATATTTGAAAGCCATTTAGAAAGTCTACCTCATTTCCAAATATCCCATCTACTAAAAAAGAAAGATATAATTGGATTTTTTTTTTTTTAGTGATTTATGAAGAGGGCAGCATCTCATCTAAAGACTTGGAAAGATGCTTTACTGAACTAAGCAGAGGGAGTCAGCTTTAGAGGCAGAAAAGAGCTGAATAAGAAACAAGTGGATTGGGCTTTCAAAATTGGTTTTATCATAGGGTTGAAACAGAAGGGACTTCCTTATCTTCTTGGCTCAGGTAAATTGGGCCCCTTCTGATTGGTTGTTGTGAATCTCCTGTTTTATCTAAAACTGGCCTGTTTTAAAGTTCAGTTTGATTGTGTGGCATCTCGAGTTTGGTTTGGTCTGTTAGGGCCTAGTGTAAATGTTCAGTTCAAAACAATGGCCTCCTATGAATTCCATCTAATAAACCCTAATAGAACATGTAACTATCACAATATTTTCTCATTTTCCTCCAAGAAACTATTGTCCTCTCATACATTTTGAATTCCTGCTGAAGCAAAAGTGACAGTAGTTTGTTTCCTTCTGGCTGCAAGTTTAAGAATAAGCAGAATTTGCTAGTTTTGTTCCAGATTGGGTTTTGTGTTTGAAAATAACTCTGCCCTTTCATTTGTTCTGCTAGCCTCCTAGAGGGCCTCCTAAGAGTGGTTTTCTGCTCTCGTTATTCTCTGGATTGCACCCTGATGACTTCTCAGCATTGGATTACTTTCGTAAGCAATGCCCTTTTGAATTCTGTTTTAAAAACTCAAAATGATTCTGTTCTCTTAAGTTGAAACCTGACAAAATAAAGCTTTAAAAATATACACATGATTCCAGGTATGGTGGCTCATGCTTATAGTTCAAGCTACTCAGGAGGATCAGACTGAAGGATTGTTTGAGACCAGGAGTTCAAGTTCAGCCTGGACAATATAGCAAGACCCTTTCTCTAAAAAAAAACACACACACATAATGTGTGCATGTGCATGAACATATGTACATACATATATATAATGTACATATATCACATATAATTTTTACATATATGCCTACACAAATATGGTTTGCATATATATATTCATACATATATAAACATATGCATTTATATACATACATACACATATACATATCTGTGTTTATGTACAGTTCTATCTCTATAAAATTATCCATTCATAATAAATAAATGTTGAAAAAACATGTTTAAAATATAAGCCATAGACATTATTATTATTTTCTTAGAATTATCAAGCATTGTAAATGCCAAGCAAAGTTAGTATTAGTGGATATTTTATCATCCAAGCCTCAGAATAAAATTGCTTCTATTTTAAGTCTGACACATATGGTATTTGCCTTTCTGTGACGATCTTGTTCACTTTCAGCATTTGCAACACCAGATTGCCAATTTCTCTGAAATTTGAAGTGGCAAGAATAGTAATTTTGAACTAAATATAAGTCAGGGGACTGTCAATTGAAAACAGGCCTTCATTTACCTGTTTGAAAGTTCAGATGTCAATGCCATGATTTTTATTCCCTTTTTTCAGATCAGGATTAAAACTTTTTCTTTCTTGTTCTTTCTCCCCTTTTCAAATTGTAATAACACTCTTGAAGCAGAGGCAGTGATTCATGAATTTGATGGAGTGCCTCAGCAGAGAACTCTATCATTTTCAAGCTTCTAAAATACCATTTCTTTCATTAAATGCTAAAATAGCTATGTTTATTATTTTGCTTTTCTTCTCTCATTTAAAATATTAGAAGGGAGTTTTGCTTAATTTTAAATACATGTGTCATTATGCATATATATATGTATATGTGTTTGTGTATGTGTGTATGTAAACATAGGTGTGTATGTGCATTTTTTCCCAAAGAATCTACTCAAGAATAACATAGAACATTTGATATAAAATGTAAATGTCTATTTTTAGATTTCTGAGAATGAGATTTTGAATAAACTGGAAAAGCTCTTTGGTAGGATATTAAAAATACTTACTTTAGATTCTCAAACTAAAATATTCACAAGATTTTTGGTAAACTGCAGGAATCTCAAAATAACCATCTGAGAGACACAATTAACAATGAGGAAGTAGTAAGTTTGCTATGCTTTCCTAGAAAGTTTTTGAGTGTAAACATTTCCTAAAATTTTTATTATGAAAGTTTTCATACAAAGGTTGAAAACGAATGCAATGAACGTATGTATATCTTCCAGTTACACTCTATAATTTTCACATTTGTTCTGTATATACTTACTTGTGTTTTATTTATCTATATGTCATTGGTTTTTCTGTGCCATCTAAAAATAAATAATAATTTGCCACAAAATATTTCAGCATGTTGTAAGGTTAAAGAAAAAGCCTCCCACATATTTCATGAACCACATATAATACCCATGAATAACAATATTATAATATCATCTAATATTCATATAATGTTTAAATTTCCCGATACCTACACAGTTGTTTTAAACTTTTTTATTTTACTCTGCAGCTAGATCTAGTTGAGATTGAGGTAGAATTTTTCTTTCTTTCTCTTTCTTTCTTTCTTTCTTTCTTTCTTTCTTTCTTTCTTTCTTTCTTTCTCTTTCTCTTTCTCTTTCTTTCTTTTCCTTCCTTCCTTTCTTGCTTCCTTCTTCTTTCTTTCTTTCCTTCTTTCACAGGGTTTCATTGACACCCAGAATGGAACGCAATGGCATGATCATGGCTCACTATAGCCTCAACTCCTTGGGCTCACGTGAGCCCCAAAACCTGTTAGCCTCTTGACTAGCCAATTTTTAACTTTTTCTTTTTTTATTTTTGAAGAGACTGGATCACACTATGTTGCCCGGGCTGGTCTCAAACTCCTAAGCTCAAGGGATCCTTACACCTCAGTTTCCCAAAGTTCTGGAATCACAGGCATGAGCCACCACGCCCAGCCAAGGTGGAAATCTTGAAGTGAGACTTGGTGCACAAGCTGCTAGTCCTGAAAAGTAAGATACTTTAGTTGGCTCACAGGCTCATCTCCCAAGAGCTGATGTTTCCTAGAACGAAGAACTAAGCTGTTTTTCTCCCAACCTTAATATTTTAGCACAGAGACAGAGAAATTACTTGTTGATAATTTCCAAAACCTATTGAAAACAAAGAAAAATGAATCTGATATGCAGATTCAAAAACCTCCTGGTGAAAAAAAAAATTCCCCAAAGCTTTTTTAGTATACATATTTCCAATCCTACAAAAAAAGAAGGGTATAAGTATCACTCATACTCACTACATAGACTCAAAATTTTTAAATTGTTATCTTTTTATATCATCTACTTTAGCATATCTTGAGAGAAAGTATCTCTCTATATAAAACAAAACTAAGATCGTGCTTAAGAAAATTAATAATAAACCATAATACCATCTAAAGTTGAGTATAAATTCAAATTTTCTAGAGTCTGAAAAATGGATCTAAAGCTTTGTTAATTTCCTTCTAAACTAAGATCTGATCTTAGTTCTTGCATTATTTGGGTGTTTTTTCAGTTTAGCTTCTTTGTTCTAGAATAGTCCTTCGTCTTAGGTGAACTATTTACTGTAATTGAGTGTTGAAATTATCTGAGGACATCATTCTGTATTGCTATTCATATGGAAATTTATGTAAATAAATCATTTCTTCTAAGTATATTTCTAGCGCAAGTGTTTAAAATGCATGTATGAAATAACATCATTGGGACACACTAATGGGTCATTTAAGGAAGTCAAAACCAGAAAATTAATTAAATTGGTAGCAAAAGAAACATTGATTAAGATAATTACTACAAATTTTACATTGCAATTCATCATTCTTAGAAGCACTGGTTTCACTAAATGCATTCCAGCAGTTAACACTGTATTTAATGGAAGCTTATTTCATATCCTAGGTTGTCTATAAGAACATATAAAAACACTATCCAACATATAATTAATATCTTGAGGAAATGCACCATCACAATTTTTCTAAGCTATAGTGTGATGAACTGAAAGACTTTATAAAGCCATTTGGTGTAATTTCCATGCAAATTTAAAGAATTACATCTATATCATCTGATATAGTTTGGATATTTTCCCCTGCCCAAATCCCATGTTGAATGTTAGTCCCCAGTGTCTTGTGGGAGGTGCTTGTCCTATCCTGGACAGCTGTCAATAACTTCACTAAATGGTAAATTGACTGATAGCTACATCCCACTTCACCCAAACTCTACCAGCCCATCTTCTCTTTAGAAATATTCTAAAATTGCCTAGACCACTCTAGTTCCTCTAAAAGTGAATGGAATATGGAGGAGACTGGAGGGCATCAGAAAAAAAGGATGGAAAGAGTAAAAAGGCAATATCATTTGAAACTTTGGTTACTATAAAAATAATCTTAATATTATTATATGTGTTAAAAACAGTTTAATCAATAATTAACTTCCCAATAAAGAAATAACCAGAACCAGATTGTTTCTCTGGTGAGTGCCCCAAAACATTTATTTATGAAATTATACCAATCATTTACAAGCTCTTTCACAAAACAGAAGCAGAGATAAGCACTTTCTAACTTGCTCTATGAGGCCCAAATCCATCAATTTATTAAAAAAAAACCTCCATATCACAACCAAATGGGATTTATTCTAGCTATGTATAGCTGGTTCAAATGCAAAAATAAGTAATTTAATCAAGCATATCAAGAGTTGATGAAAAATATTTGACAAAAATCCATATCCATTAATGATCAAAACTCTCAGTGATCTAGGATTAGAGGGAAGTGTCCTCAACTTGATACATTAATCATCAGAAGGTTTATAACTCACATCATGCTAAATGGTGAGAAACTCATTATTTCCTTCTAAGAGTGACAAAAGGTATGTTCTGTTTTTCACGCCTATTCAACATTATTAAAAGAACTAGCAAATGCAGTAAGAAAAGAAAAGGAAAAAAGGGAAGCCGTGAGAGACTGTGTCGGGAGCAACTGTGTCGGGAGCAACAGTGCCCTCCGGCCCAGATACTGCGCTTTTCCCATGGTCTTTGCAACTGGCAGACCAGGAGATTCCCTTTGGTGCCTGGCTTGGCGGGTCCCACCCTGACAGAGCCCAGCAAGCTAAGATCCACTGGCATGAAATTCTCATTGCTAGCAGAGCAGTCTCAGGTTGACCTGGGATGCTGAAGTTTGGTGGGAGGAAGGGTGTCTGCCACTGCTGAAGCTTGAGTAGGCAGTTTTACTATCACAGAGTAAACAAAGCTGCAGGGAAGTTCTAACTGGGCGGAGCCCACAGCAGTTCAGCAAGGCCACTAGGGCCAGACTGCCTATCTAGATTTTCTCCTCTCTGGGCAGGGCATCTCTGAAAAAAAGGCATCAGCCCCGGTCAGGCACATATAGATAAAACCTCCATCTTTCTGGGACAGAGCACCTGGGGGAAGCGGTGGCTGTGGGCGCAGCTTCAGCAGACTTAAACGTCACTGCCTGACAGCTCTTAAGCGAGCAGCGGATCTCCCAGTACAGTGTTTGAGCTCTGATAAGGGACAGGCTGCCTCCTCAAGTGGGTCCCTGACTCCTGTGTATCCTGATGGGGAGATACCCCTCAGCAGGGGCCAACAGACACCTCATACAGGGGAGTTCTTGCTTACATCTGGCGCGTGCCTCTCTGTTACAAAGCTTCCAGAGGAAGGAACAGGCAGAAATCTTTGCTGTTCTGCAGTCTCCACTGGTGATATGCAGGCAAACAGGGTCTGGAGTGGACCTCCAGCAAACACCAGCAGACCTGCAGAAGAGGCGCCTGCCTGTTAGAAGGAAAACTAACAAACAGAAAGAAATAGTAACAACACCAACAAAAAGGATGTCTACTCAGAGATCCCATCCGAGGCTCACTAACATCAAAGAACAAAGGTAGATAAATCCACGAAGATGGAAAGAAACCAGCGCAAAAAGGCTAAAAACTCCAAAAACCAGAACACCTCTTCCCCTCCAAAGGATCACAAACCCTCACCAGCAAGGGAACAAAACTGGACAAAGAATGAGTTTGACGAATTGACAGAAGTAGGCTTCAGAAGGTGGGTAACGACAAACTCCTCTGAGCTAAAGGAGCATGTTCTAATCCAATGCAAGGAAGCTAAGAACCTTGAAGAAAGGTTAGATGAATTGCTAACTAGAATAACCAGTTTAGAGAAGACATAAATGACCTGATGGAGCTGAAAAACACAGCATGGGAACTTCACGAAGCATACACAAGTATCAATAGCTGAATCAATCAAGTGGAAGAAAGGATATCAAAGTTTGAAGATCAACTCAATGAAATAAAGCGAGAAGAAAAGATTAGAGAAAAAAGAGTGAAAAGAAATGAACAAAGCCTCCAAGAAATATGGGACTATGTGAAAAGACCAAATCTACATTTGATTGGTGTACCTGAAAGTGATGGGGAGGATGGAACCAAATGGGAAAACACTTTTCAGGATATTATCCAGGAGAACTTCCCCAACCTAGCAAGGCAGACCAACATTCAAATTCAGGAAATACGGAGAACACCACAAAGATACTCCTCGAGAAGAGCAACCCCAAGATACATAATTCAGATTCACCAAGGTTCAATGAAGGAAAAAATGTTAAGGGAAGCCAGAAAGAAAAGGCCGGGTTACCCACACAGGGAAGCCCATCAGACTAACAGTGGATCTCTCGGCAGAAACCCTACAAGCCAGAGGAGAGTGGGGGCCACTATTCAACATTCTGAAAGAAAATGATTTTCAACCCAGAATTTCATATCCAGCCAAACTAAGCTTCATAAGCAAAGGAGAAATAAAATCCTTTACAGACAAGCAAATGCTGAGAGATTTTCTCACCACCATGCCTGCCTTACAAGAACTCCTGAAGGAAGCACTAAACAGGGAAAGAAACAACTGGTACCAGCCATTGCAAAAATATACCAAATTGTAAAGCCCATCAACACTATGAAGAAACTGCATCTACTAATGGGCAAAATAACCAGCTAGCATCAAAATGACAGGATCAAATTCACACATAACAATATTAACCTTAAATATAAATGGGCTAAATGCCTCAATTAAAAGACACAGACTGGCAAATTCCATAAAGAGTCAAGACCCATCGGTGTGCTGTATTCAGCAGACGCATCTCCTGTGCAAAGACACACATAGGCTCAAAATAAAGGGATGGAGGAATATTTGCCAAGCAAATGGAAAGCCAAAAAAAAAAAAAAAAAAAAAAAGCAGGGGTTACAATCCTAGTCTTTGATAAAACAGACTTTAAACCAACAAAGATCAAAGGAGACAAGAGCATTACATAATGGTAAAGGTATCAATGCAACAAGAAGAGCTAACTATCCTAAATATATACACACCCAATACAGGAGCACCCAGATTCATGAAGCAAGTTCTAAGAGACCTACAGAGAGATTTAGATGCCCACACAATGATAGTGGGAGACTTTAACACCCTACTGTCAACACTAGTCAGATCAACAAGACAGAAAATTAAGAAGGATATCCAGTACTGGAACTCAGCTCTGGACCAAGTGGACCTAATAGACATCTACAGAGCTCTCCACCATAAATCAACAGAACATACATGCTTCTCAGCACCACATCACACTTATTCTAAAATTGACCACATAATTGGAAGTAAAACACTCCTCAGCAAACGCAAAGAATGGAAATCTTAACAAACCGTCTCTCAGACCACAGTGCAATCACATTAGAACTCAGGATTCAGAAACTTACTCAAAACTGCACAACTACATGGAAACTGAACAACCTGTTTCTGAATGACTACTGGGTAAATAATGAATTGAAAGCAGAAATAAAGATGTTCTTTGAAACCAATGAGAACAAAGACACAATGTATCAGAATCTCTGAGACACATTTAAAACAATGTGTAGATGGAAATTTATAGCACGAAATGCTCACAAGAGATAGCAGGAAAGATCTAAAATTGATACCCTAACATCACAATTAAAAGAACTAGAGAATCAAGAGCAAAGAAATTCAAAAGGTAAGAGAAGACAAGAAATAACTAAGATCAGAGTGGAACTGAAGGAGATAGTGACACACAAAAAAAACTCTTCAAAAAATCAATGAATGCAGAAGCTGGTTTTTCGAAAAGATGAAAAAAATTGATAGACCCCCAGCAAGACTAATAAACAAGAAAGGAGAGAAGAATCAAATAGACACAATAAAAACTGATACAGGGGATATCACCACTGATCCCACAGAAAACAAGCACCATCAGAGAACACTATAAACACTTCTATACAAATAAACTAGGAAATCTAGAAAAAATGGATAAATTCCTGGACACATACACCCTCCCAAGAGTAAACCAGAGAGAAGTCAAATCCCTTAATAGACCAATAACAAGTTCTGAAATTGAGGCAGTAATTAATAGCCTACCAACCAAAAAAAGTCCAGGGCCAGACAGATTCAGAGACAAATTTTACCAGAGGGACAAAGAGGAGCTGGTACCATTTCTTCTGAAACTATTCCAAACAATAGAAATAGAGGGAATCCTCCCTAACTCATTTTTTGAGATCAGCATCATCGTGACACCAAAACCTGGCAAAGACACAACAAAGAAAGAAAATTTTAGGCTAATATCCCAAATGAACATCGATGGGAAAATCCTCAGTAAAATCCTGGCAAACCAAATCCAGCAGCACATCAAAAAGCTTATCCACAGTGATCAAGTTGGCTTCATCCATGGGATGCAAGGCTGGTTCAACATACACAAATCAATAAACATAATCCATCACATAAACAGAACCAATGCCAAATCCACATGATTATCTCGATGCAGAAAAGGCATCTGACAAAATTCAACAGCCCTTCATGCTAAAAACTCTCAATAAACTAGGTATTCATGGAACATATTTCAAAATAATAAGAGCTATTTATGACAAACCCACAGCCAATATCATACTGAATGAGCAAAAACTGGAAGCATTCCCTTTGAAAACCGGCACAAGACAAGGATGCCCTCTCTCACTCCTCCTATTCAACATAGTATTGGAAATTCTGGCCAGGGCAGTCAGGCAAGAGAAAGAAATAAAGGGCATTTAAGTAGGAAAAGAGGAAGTCAAATTTTCACTGTTTGCAGATGACATGATTGTATATTTGGAAAAACCCATTGTCTCATCTCCAAATCTCCTTAACCTGATGAACAACTTCAGCAAAGCCTCAGGATACAAAATCAATGTGCAAAAATCATAGGCATTCCTATACACCAATAACAGACAAACAGAGAGCCAAATCATGAGTGAACTCCCATTCACAATTGCTACAACGAGAATAAAATATCTAGAAATCCAACTTACAAGGGATGTGAAGGACCTCCTCAAGGAGAACTACAAACCACTGCTCAAGGAAATAAGAGAGGATACAAACAAATGGAAGAACATTCCATGCTCATGGATAGGAGGAATCAATATTGTGAAAATGGCCATACTGCCCAAAGTAATTTATAGATTCAATACTATCCCCATCAAAATACCATTGATTTTCTTTACAGAATTTGAAAAAAACTACTTTAAATTTCATATGGAATCAAAAAAGAGCCCACATAGCCAAGACAATCTTAAGCAAAAAGAACAAAGCTGGAGGCCTCACGCTACCTGACTTCAAACTATATTACAAGGGTACAGTAATCAAAACAGCAAGTACTGGTACCAAAACAGATAAGTAGACCAATGGAACAGAACAGAGGCCTCAGAAATAACACCACATATCTACAACCATCTGACCTTTGACAAACCTGACAAAAACAAGCAGTGGGGAAAGGATTCCCTATTTAATAAATGGTGTTGGGAAAACTGGCTAGCCATATGCAGAAAGCTGAAACTGGATCCATTCCTTACAGCTTATACAAAAATTAACTTAAGATGGATTAAAGACTTAAACATAAGACCTAAAACCATAAAAACCCTAGAAGAAAACTTAGGCAATACCATTCAGGACATAGGCATGGGCAAAGACTTCATGACTAAATCACCAAAAGCAAAAGTAGACAAATGGGATCTAGTTAAAATAAAGAGCTTCTGCACACCAAAATAAACTATCATCAGAGTGAACAGGCAACATACAAAATGGGAGAAAATTTTTGCAATGTCTCTATCTGACAAAGGGCTAATATCCAGAATCTACGAAGAACTTAAACAAATTTATAAGAAAAAAACACCATCAAAATGTGGGTGAAGGATACGAACAGACACTTCTCAAAAGAAGACATTTATGCAGCCAGCAAACATATGAAAAAATGCTCATCATCACTGGTCATTAGAGAAATGCAAATCAAAACCTCAATAAGATACCATCTCCCACCATTTAGAATGGCGATCATTAAAAAGTGAGGAAACAACAGATGCTGGAGAGGATGTGGAGAAATAGAAACGCTTTTACACTGTTGGTGGGAGTGTAAATTAGTTCAACCATTGTGGAAGTCAGTGTGGTGATTTCTCAAGGATCTAGAACTAGAAATACCATTTTACTCAGCAATCTCATTACTGTGTATATACTCAAAGGATTATAAATCATTCTTCTACAAAGACACATGCACACGTATGATTA
>NW_021159996.1:0-89956 GCF_000001405.40 Homo sapiens
ACTGGAAGTCTTGCTTCCGTTCTCCTTCACTAAATAAAAATCTACTCATCTCTGTAGGAAGGGTGATTATATTTCACATATTTCTTCCTCAGAGTTGCTTTCACTGACCCCTCAGACTGGGTTAAATCCCTTTGTTATACAGTCTGTGGTCACCTTGGTCTCCCTTTAGCTATTCATTGCACTGGGGAGTGCTGTGGAAAGCCTGGCCTCCCCATTAGATGTGAGCTCCAGGAGTCTTGGTGCTGGGCCTCACCTGTTCCCTGACCCCCATTCCAAAAACCCAGCCCACCTGGCTCAGAGTAAGTTCTCAATCATTGCTGAATTGAATCTCATCTCACTTTCTTTTTCAAATGAAAGCTATCATGACCAGTTAGGATCATGTAAATATCATTTACTATATTTTTAAACCAAAACTTTCCTAAATATGGGCCACTAGGACCAAAGCCAGCAAGGAACTGGGATAACACCTGAATTTCTGATGCTAAGTGTAGTTTTGATCTGTATATTGGCTGTGAGGTACTGCAGCTGCTGTTATCTGATAGAAAATGTGGAACTGATGCCAACAATGCTATCTACTATTCTAAATGCAAATAATCCCACTGACGGGTGAGGGAAGACTGGAGCAGGCGTCAAAAGCTTCTTTAGTCGGAAGTGGCTCCAAGGGAGTCAGGCGATGTGCAGTGGCCAAGGATGCCATGGGCAAAGGTAAAAGAACCAAGGAAAAGTAGCCATTCTTTTAATATAAAATTGTTTAATGTTTTTCTTTGTTGCAGTACACTCAATCCAGATGTAGTGGATGAGGTGGCCAGATTTTTTCAAGATTCTTAGTCCACCAGGAGCTGATTCCATTTGTGTCATCCCTACTCTGGTCACAGAACATTCACATCTTTAATTCCAAATACTGAGCGTGATGTAAATGATGTAATCAGTATCTAACACGAGTATATACTTTCTTGGTGGCCACTGCATGACATATCAACAGTGCAGCCTCAAAAAAAAGATGTTTTGTAACTTGGCCCTTTCCAAAAATAAATATATTAGGACACTAAGCTTATACCTTAAATGAGGGCAGAATAAATATGAATGAAGTGCAAGCTCCTGTGAGGAGCAGTGCATGCAGATGATGTACTTGCTTGTATGGTGTGGCCAGCTGTAACAGAAAGCCACTGGAACGGCACAGTGCCTCCTCACAAAGCCCATCCTGGGTATCATGAGGAAAAAGAATGACACATAGCTTGGCCAGGCTGCTGGAACCCATGTTCCAGTGGCATCTGGAGTTCACTGTATTTTCTTTTTTCTTTCTTTTTTTTTTTTTGAGACAGAGTCTTGCTCTGTCACCCAGGCTGGAGTGCAATGATGTGATCTCAGCTTACTGCAACCTCTGCCTCCCAGGCTCAAGAGATTCTTCTGCCTCAGCCTCCTGAGGAGCTGGGATTACAGACACGTGCTACCATGCCCGCCTAATTTTTGTATTTTTAGTACAGACAGGGTTTCACCATGTTGGCCAGGCTGGTCTGGAACTCCTGACCTCAAATGATCTGCCTGCCTCAGCCTTTCAAAGTGCTGGGATTACAGGCATGAGCTACTGGGCCTGGCCAGTTCACTGTATTTTCGAACAATTTCCAACAGAAAGCACAGCAGTGACGTTTCCTTACTGGTCACTGCTCCCGTGCTGTGAGGCCTGGAGCTGATCAAGGAAGCTTACACATTTCCCGGCCTGAGCAGATGAACTCTAGGGTTGCTAATCTGGGGACGTGGGTTCCTTCAAGCTCTTTGTGATGAGAAGGATTTTCATCCTCCTTTTCTCACTGCCGATCGTGCGGTAGAGAGAGCATCTTCATTTGAATGAGAGCTTCAGTTTCTGCTTGAGCCTCAAGCCCTATTTCTGAGCGCTGCTCCTCTCACACACGTCTCCAATCTGCAGTAATGCTCAAAGAAACAGTCTAGAGCTGGGTGCCAAGCTCCGGCAGCAAGAATAAGCCCTACCTAGTTATGTATGATCAGGAGATCTTCCAAAGGACGTAGGCGAGAGGAAAAAGCTTATTTTACCACCATGCAGACAACCCATCTAAAATATAACCCAGGAAATTATAGCTTCACAATATTCTGGATAGTATCAAATAGATAAATCCTTCAACCAAAAGCAAATACGGTTCCCTTGAGGAAAAACAGATGTGAATGTTGTGGTCTATTGGCAATAAATAAAACAGTACCATCGGTGCTATAAAAACAGACAATCAGCGTGACATTTAATGGAGTTAGTTATTATTGCTTCTATTTAGTATCATCACAGATTACTTATCGCTGCCATGAAGTCCATAAAATGTGTGACTACCTGATTCCTGGGCATCTAGGACAGGGTCTTTTAACCTGTCAAGTCAGTTTCATTATGGCCAATTTTCTAGCAGTGGTTGGGGATGGGGAGAGGAGAGCTTTGATTTTTTTGTGTGTAGAAGAACTTTCCATAAGCCTGTTTGGCTCATGGACATATTTTACAATGTAACCTCCCTCAGTCACTCAGAGGGGATCAAGAAGGGCCCCCTAAAACCAGGAGGACAGATCTAGTTGGGCAGCAAAATCTGGCTATTTCTAGAAATGCTCCCTCTCCCTGCAACTGAGCAGTTGTCCCCTACAAGCCACTAAAGCCCCCAATCTTTACCTGTGAACCCATCTCCTGACTCTGTGGAATGCCTGCAGAGGCATGGTAGGGAACAACCGTTCAGATGTTGATGAGCCATGCTAGGCACGTCTGTGTAAATCATGGCCATGCATTGGGATGAAGAAACTTTACTTTGGAATCTGTTTAATGTAGACTCTTTTTTTTTTTGAGATGGAGTGGAGTGCAGTGGCGTGATTTCAGCTCACTGTAACCTCCACCTTGCAAGTTGCAGCGATTCTCATGCCTCAGCCTCCCGAGTAGCTGGGACTACAGGCATGTGCCACCACACCTGGCTAATTTTTGTATTATTAGTAGAGATGGGGTTTCACTGTGTTGGCCAGGCTGGTCTTGAACTCCTGACCTCAGGTGATCCACCTGCCACAGCCTCCCAAAGTGCTGGGATTACAGGCTTGAGCCAGTGCACCCGGCCGACTCTCTACCAGAAACTTTTCTTCCAATATGAAGGAAGCATGGAGTGTAGGCTACAGTCACTTAATGATCCTTCCAAGTTCAGAGTCATGATAATTCAGGCAGCTCAGCTCCACAGGAAGGCCCAGAACCACACAGCCCAGGCAGTGACTGAATTCTTCCTAGTCACCAGTGGAGGGCTGCCTGCCTGTGAGGGACCTCTTATTTTGTGTACAGAATTTATGTTAGACAGGGTCCTGCTTCCTAAAGAGCAGCAGGGATGTTGTCCTGAACAGATGCAAGATTGCCACAGAAAAGATGAGGGGTCATGGGGTTGGGGAGGACGGAGGCATCCTCGGGAAAGGTTCTGCTTTGCCAGTCTGGCTAGAATCACCTGAGACATGAGGATGCTCTCCCACTTTCTACTTGACACTCAGCCTACCGTCTTGCTCTGCCACTACAAGACCTGGGTCATCCTCTCTGGGCCAATGTTCTCATTCATAGAACCAGGGATAATACATCTACTTCAGAGTTGTGAGGAGGTTTAAGTAAGAAAATATGTGTGAGAGCCCCTGCTTTTATAGTAGGCACTCAATAAATGTTGAATGAATGAAAAATCATCTCAAATCACAAACTATAGGATACTGGGTTAAACAAAGTGGCTGCTGGGGCCAAAGCTAGACCCCCATATCCAAGGAGAGAGGATCTGTCTCCTCTATCTCTAGGCTTGAGCAAACAGCCTGGAGAGCTGGCAATGCCTCCTCCTGGGTCTGACCATCTGCCTCTGTGGGATGTAGGAACTCAGCCTAAGTGCGATGACACCAATGATGATACTGAGGGGAAATGACCGAAGGGACATTCTCTGGGTTCTATGATGGAGTAGGGAGGCTTCGTGGAGGAGATGAGGCTCGGTCTTGCATTATACCTTCGCCCTGGCCCCCGCCTCCAGATGCTGCTCAGTAGTTTTAATTTCTGGACTCTCTAAAGGAGAGAGGGTTAAGGAAATAAAGGAATCTCAAATTAGGCAGTTTGCTAATGCTACTAACTGAGCAGAGATTGGAATAATAGAAAACTATTGACTACAATAGTTTAAATTTCTCCATATTCCCCTAGAAAATGGAAAGCTGGGCAGGAACATGTTCCAAAGGCTAAATCTTGGCGGAGATGATGACTCTAATGAAGGGAGAGGTATAATTCTTGGTAGACAGTGTAAATAACTAATATTAAGCTTTGGCTAAGCCTAGGAATGCCTGGTTCTTAAGACTTCACTGAAGAAGGGAAGAAGGAAGAAAGCATGGATCTGCTCTGGGATGCCCTGAACTCCATTCACATAGGCAGGGTAGGCATGGAGCAGGGAGACGGAATCCAATGCCTTGCCATTAATTTAACTTAGATGAACTACTCCTGGTCCCTGGAGCCACTCCCCAGGAAGGATCCTGTGAAGACACATCTGGCTCTCGTGCCCATGCTCCTGCCACTCTGCCCAACCAACGAAGTTAGCAAATAGTAAAGTGTTCATCATTACCTAGTTTTGTATTATAAAATGGAATCAGGAACATAAATAGGAACAAGTAGCAAAACCCCAGCCCTGCGTAGGACCATTATCCTCTCAGCCACCTCTGCGTAGGCCAATGAGTTTGGAAAGTTTCTCACAGTTTTCAAGTTTCAGCGACTCTGCTTTCTGTTTCAATCGTTCATCTCTGTATAATCCTGCCAAATTTGTCAGCTCTGACTCTGAAAGATAAAAGAGGTAACCAATTCATCAAGAGCTGAACTCCTTTGTTTCATTTCAATGTTTCTGGAGTCAAAGCTCCTTTTACTTCATTTCAAGCTTTTTCTTACAATTAAATATAAGAAACATTTAGTCATTTATTCACAAAACACGTCTTAGGTACTAGACCAGGTGTGGAGGATTAAAGGGCACCTGTGACCCTGCAGTCCAACAGTATCTGTGCTCTCTTATAAAAGCACTGGACTTAGTTCTTACCAAGAAAACATTTGGCACCAGACTTAGGAAACCTGCGCATGTGCAGTGAGACCACCCTATAGCCTCCTACAAACGGGATTCCAACAGCAGCTGGGAGAGAATGGAGTCCAGTGGCCTATTCCTGTCATCTGAAACAGACAGCTGCTTTATTCTTCTCCTGCATTGCTGCATCATAACTCACATGTGCGAAGGCACACAGAGCCTACTGCTGCCGGGTGTGCGTCCACAGAAGGCCAGGGCACTACTGGCGCTGTTCATTCCCTCACCACACGTAGGGTCCCCAACTCAAAGGCCAAAGGCAGCTGGGCCTTTCTAAAAGTTGAATCATCTGGATCCGGTGACCTTTGTCTCCTTGACTAAATTAATTTCATTTTCTCTTTATGGTGGAGAAGGTCATTCTATTTTTAACCAGAATATAATCTCTGCTGTGTTTCCTGACTCAACAGTGGTTTGGTTGCCTCTATTTTTTATTCTTTTGTGAGGTTTCAGACATATTCAGGGAGGAATGCCTGAAGAGCACCTTTAGAGACGTATTGCGTATTAACAGGATGGCATGCTTGGATGTGGTGTGTGTTTCCTGAAAGCCTCCAACAGCAGGCAGCTACTCAATGTTTAAAGGACCAGACTTGTAAAAATGCTATTTTAATTGTTTTGAAATATGCCTATCTATTCTTAATCATCTTGCTGACAGATTTTGTTTTTCTTGGTGGAACGAAAGACACCTGTCTGATTAATCAGCAAACTGCCTGGAAACGGAATTATTATTTAGCCAGGGGGAACAATGGGCATTGCTTTCTGAATACGTTTCTATCAACACAAAACACTGTCTGGCATTTCTGTGCACAATGATGCTATTTACCCCCAAGTAAGGCCCAAAGTGCAGATTAAGTGCAGGACTCCAGAGTGAGGGATGGATATGCATAAAAACCCTCCCTCTACAATGGAGGCCGCACAGCCTGGGCTCTAGCCCAGCAGTTGCTTGGCAAGCAGTGGGTCTCCCAGGCTCCAGAACAATGCGCTCTCCCTGCTTGGTGAGGGTGCCTGCAGCGCCTGCTAGCCAGGGCTTGCCTTGGCACAGTCACCCTTGCAGGTGATGGGGCGTCATGGAGGATCATGGGCCATATCCAAATGAAAGCTCTCTGCTCCTGCATCCTGCCCAGGGCTCGGCACTAACTCCAATCTCAGGCTACTTTGGCATGTGGGTAACCTTGCCCAGGAGGCCTCTGTGAAGTCAGTCTATGCCTTTAGTCCTCTGGAGTCACAGTTACACCAGTATTGAAACAGATTCTGTGGTTTTGCTTTTCTTTGAAATGATTTCCTCAGGTTTTCCATTTGCTCAGCTTTTCTAAATGCTTCATTCCCTGAAATCTTGTTCCAGGAAACATTAAGGGCTAGTGACTCTTTATATTTTCTACATTGAAGGCCACTTCAACAAGCTGATGAAAGATAACTGCTTTTCTCAAAATATCACATTGCTTTTCATAAAGTTCACTGAAACCAGCTCAGAGACCCCTGCTCCAGAGCAATGACCTTGTACAAGGTCAGTGTTTCAAGGAATCATGTCCCACATCCCCACTACCAAGCTTAAAGCAACTTCTCTCCAAACTGCCAGTGAATCCTTTCATCCTTCAATGAACAAAGGGTCAACTTGAAGAATATGCTACTTTTGACAAATTCTGTTAATATTCAATAAATTCTAAGTAATTAAAAAAAATTTTGGGGAGTGGCAGGTTCCAGAGAATACCTTTTCTTCTTAGCAGAAAGTTCCCCTTCCTCTGAATGCCACTGTAACAGATGGACAGAGCATTGAGCCTTAAAGATAAACTGACTCAGGCAAATTGCCAAGAGAAGCAAGACCCAGAACCTCTCCTAAGGTTCTCTGCAAAAGAGCCCAGATTGGTCTCAACAGCTGAAAGACCGCAACAGATCCCAACTGCCCTCATGATCCAGCCCCATGAGATGGTGCTACATCCAGTCTACAGTGCAAAGCCAGGTAAAGCCAGGACTCCACCAGAAATTAGGCACTTTCTATGTGCCAGACACTGTGCTAAGAGTTACACCCATACCATCTTCCATAACCCACACAACCTCTCTAGGAGGAAGTGGATTCTATCCCCATTTCAAAGCCTAAGCTTCTACCCACTAGGTTATCCTGCTCAAGGGTGTGGAAAGAAGTGCTCCTCTACCAGTCTGGGCCAGGAGCTCAGCTCAGCTCAGCTAGGCCAAGAGGCAGTTCCTGCCTGCTACCTTCGTCCAGCCCAGCCTAGTGGTGTGGCCACTTGCCCTGGCATCAGGCTTACTATCTAGATGCAGCTGCGAAGAAGTAAACAGGACAATTAGTGTTTATAGTAAGGGATTACTCATAAAGGTTTGCCCAGATTGGCCGGGTGTGGTGGCTCACGCCTGTAATCCCAGCACTTCGGAGGCCGAGGTGGGCGGATTACCTGAGGTCAGGAGTTCGAGACCAGCCTGACCAACATCCTTGAAACCCCGTCTCTACTAAAAACTACAAAAATTAGCCAGGCACGGTGGCATGCACCTATAGTCCCAACTACTCAGGAGGCTGAGGCAGGAGAATCGCTTGAACCTGGGAGGTGGAGGTTGCAGTGCGCCGAGATTGCATGACTGCACTCCAGCCTGAGCGAGAGAGCGAGACTCTGTCAAAAAAAAAAAAAAAAAAAATTTTCACCCAGATTAAACATTCTAAGGAAGAGCAGAGAAAAATAAATGAACCAAACAAAGATTTAAAAAGTCAATGGCTAACCTTGCTAAAAACAGTTTGCATTTGGTATTTTGCCAAGAGTGAACTTTGTTCTCAAGTGGGTTTATTTTTACAACCTCCAAGTGCTAAATTTAACCTTGTTGGCTGCACTTGCTGCTGGATTCGGAGGGCAGATGCTGCTTGTTCTCAAATGGCACTTGGGTTGTGTGGAGGCTCTGCATAGCCGCTGTACTTAAATGCCAGAAATAGATTTTTAAGGGGTTTGTGCTGATAACTGCCATTTGGAACTTGTGGGTACACGCATCATGCTTACTCACTGGATTTTTTTTTTTTTTTTTTTTTTTTAGATGGAGTCTCGCTCTGTCACCCAGGCTGAAGTGCAGTGGCACGATCTCAGCAGACTGCAACCTCCGCCTCCCGGGTTCAAGAGATTCTCCTGCCTCAGCCTCCCAAGTAGCTGGAATTACAGGTGCGCACCACCACACCCAGCTAATTTTTGTATTTTTAGTAGAGAAGGGGTTTCGCCATGTTGGCCAGGTTGGTCTCGAACTCCGGACCTCAGGTGATCCATCCTCCTTGGCCTCCCAAAGTGCTGGGATTACAGGCATGAGCCACCACACCTGGCCACTCACTGGATTTTTATTTATACCTGGAGAGTGCCGAAGCTCTGAACTAGGCCTCATGGGGATGGGGACAAAAGCTGAGAAACTACCTCTGGTGCAATCCTTACCATGAGCTCTTTGTATAATTCCAGCATCTTACTGCCACAGAGGAAGATGTGGGGCAGGCGGGTGTTTGAAGAATGTGAAATGCAGATTTTCATCCAGTTCTTGCAGAAAGCAACAAAGTCAAAGCCCTCCCAGGACCCAGACAATGGGGATTTTCAGGACATACACTGGCTTTCACCTGATTTGGATCCATGTATATACTGCCTTTTTATTGAGACAGGATCTCGCTCTGTGGCCCAGGCTGGAGTGCAGTGGAGTGATCACAGCTCACTGCAGCCTTGATCTCCCAGGCTCGACCTCCTGAGTAGCTGAAACCACAGGCATGTGCTGCCACACCTGGCTTATTTTTATACTTTTTCTAGAGATGGGGTTCCCAGGCTGGTCTCAAACTCCTGGACTCAAGTGATCCTCCTGCCTCGGCCTCCCAAAGTGCTAGGACTATAGGCATGAGCTACCATGCCTGGCCTATATACTGCCTTTTAATATGAGGCCTTTATCCTGCTCTAAAATTCTTTCCTGATTTTTGATTCTTGTAAAATCTAGTTTAGCAATGGGGTAGAGTATTTCCTGAATCCTCAGTGTTTTTCAATAAATTGGAATTTCCTCTTCCTGTTTAATTTCCTCTTATATCCCAGAGTCATTGCTCACCAACTTCCTAATGCACCTTGAGAGAACATTAGGACTTTGCCGTACAGAAATAGGGGGCAGAGACCAGGTCCCTAAGGGTGAGCTAGGACACTAACCCTGCTGTTGTTATTCACAATCCTCAGCATTTTCATTGTTTTCTACTCCTGAGAATCCTCTCTTCAAAAGACATTTGTTGAGCACTTGTTCTGAAGCAAGGACTGTGCCAGAACCCTGGGACACAAAATTAGTAAGACCAAGTTCTTATTCCCAGACAGTCCATAGTCTTGCAGGGGAGACTGACATATATCCCTGGAACTCTAACACTGTGTGATTGGTACTATGTTAGCAGGCTGAACAAAGTGCTTTAAGAACACAGAGGAAGGAGAGCTTAACTTGAGGGCGGGGTTGGGAGTGTGTGATGGTCAATGAGGGCTTAGCAGCACTGTGACTGAAGAGCTAATTTTATCAGACTCCATTAGGTATTTAATGATACTCAGTAATAAGGCTTTAGAAATGAGTCAGAATTTGCTTTTTAAACATGAGCCAAAACTTCAGTTAAAAGGGTACCTCCTGAAAAATAAAAAAGAAAATAAAAATAATCAAAACCAAGTTTTAGAAGACACAGTCACTAACGCGGTATGTGTGTGTAGAATTCAAGTGGGACCAAAGGTGAAGCTGTTGGCTGAGACGGGGCTACCCCTGCTGCAGACACTCCTAGTAACACTTGCTGGAGCTGTAAGCCAGTGGCAGATGCTATCATCCCCACTGTCTCCAGAGAGGGAAATAGGGGGGAAGGCCTGCCACACCCAAAGGGGCAGACCCAAGGGGTCGCTTTTGTTCTGTGTGGCCACAACCAGCTGGAGGTGAGGGTAGGGGACACCTCATTCCATACCAGAAACCTCTAAACCTTTGTTCTGTTTCAAAAAGTTAGGCTGGCTCGATCAGATTTCCCTCTAGGGAGTGTGGAATTGGGAAACTGTGGACCAAATCAGCGAGCACCAAGAACTTACAGACGTGTGTGCTGCAGAAAGGGGCACTGACTGGTGAGACTGGGGAATTTGAGAGAGTGATAAGCAGGGTGGCAACCACTGTAAACCATGGCAAACAAGGTTATGCAAAAGGGAAGCTGGAAGAAAGAAAGGAAGGCAGCTGGTGGGGAGAGGAGAGGGGGCAGATTGGCAGAGAGAGGTAGAGACTCAAAGAGAGACAGACATACAGACAGGTGACTAGTGCCGCCTAAATTCCTAAGATTTCCAAGTCCTGGCCACATGTATCCTGTCAATAAATTTCCCCTACTTTTTTATAGTATCCTGAATGGCCTTTGTCCTCTGACTCTGTTCACATAAACATGCGTAGCCTCAAACAAGAAGAGAGGAGGGATCAGGAGGCTGGGGGTGCCTCCTGCTGGGAACCACAGCCACCAGCTAATGCCCCTTTTACAGTATCTTACTTTGTTGTTTCTCCTTCCAACAACTAGTCTGGATATAATCAATGTAATCCTTCTCTATTGTTTTCTCCAAGTCATGCAGAGAAGCTCCTCTGTAGGCCTTGTCAAAGTTTTTATCCACAAAGTAAGGCACCTGCAGGTTCTGAGTTTCTCTAGAAATGGTGTAGCCCAAGGTCCTGAAACAAGGAGAGAGAGGCTCATGTGAGCTCATAATATTTGGCAATATTACTCTTAGCACTGCCCTCACAGATATCATCATCATCATCTGCTCATAGAGCAGAGGCAGATATCATTTTCTAATATACCCAACACTTCTTATTTCCCTAGCAAAGTTGTAAGTATAACATCATCATAATTGTATTATGTAAGCAAGTTCATACTATGAATTCAGCTTCAGCATAGTTTATTCTCTTAAAGGACTCACCTCTCTTATACTGCTCTCTGTGCTAAAAGTAGAATGCTGAATGCTTAAAACAAACAATTTTTACGTTGTGTAGGATCTAGTATGGTACCTGACAGAGTAGGCTATTATAAATGCTGGTTGAATGAACTGATTATGTTATATAGCAAATTATTTACAAAAAAAACAGATAGCTCACACCAACCTAGAAGCAATATTTTGGACATGATAAAAAGTACTTCGCACATAGCTGCTAACTGAGAACTGCAAGAAACTCAGACAAAAGATTTCAATGATGCTTTAGAGCTAACTCTCTGTGGGTCCAAGACATCCAAAGGTATCTGGTGCTTAGCAACATTAATAAGAGTACTGAGCTGACTAATTCTAACCATAAGGAAACATAGAAGGGACCTCAAACTCAAGTTAAAACAATGTGACAGAAATGGTTTTCTTCAAACTGGACAAATTCTACATTAAAGGGGCTATATTTTATTTGGCCTTTTTCCGGCCCTCTCCTTTGATCCTCTCTAATTAGAGTAAGAGCTGAAGCCATGACTGCTCTCCCCTCACTCTAAGGTTTTGGGGGAGCTTACAGAGCAGGTCCGTGCTTACCCCGCTGGCCTCACAAGAAAGAAAGCTAAAGTGCCATATGGAAAAACATGAGAAGCTGGGAAACAGAGGGAATCAGGCCAGTGTGGCCTGATGGCAAAAACCTCTCTATGAAGGCTAGGTGCAGTGGCTCATGACGGTAATCCCAGCACTTTGGGAGGCCAAGAAAGGTGGAGGTCAGGCGTTCGAGACCAGCCCAGCCAACATGGTGAAACCCAGTCTCTACTAAAAAATACAAAAATTAGCCAGGTGTGGTGGCACATGCTTATAATCCCAGCTACTCAGGAGGCTGAGGCATGAGAATCGCTTGAACCTGGGAGAAGGGGATTACAGTGAGCCAAGATTGCACCACTGCACTTCAGCCTGGGAGCCTGGGTGACAGAGCAAGACTGCTTCGAAAACAAAAACAATAAAAAGAAACCTCTCTTTCAGCCTCAGCTTCGCTCTCTGTAAAAGGAAAATACTAGCCGGGCGCGATGGCTCATGCCTGTAATCCCAGCACTTTGGGAGGCCAAGGTGGGCAGATCACCTGAGGTTAGGAGTTTGAGACCAGCCTGGCCAACATAGTGAAACCCTGTCTCTACTAAAATATAAAAATTATCCGGGTGTGGTGGTGCGTGCCGCCTGTAATTCCAGCTACTCAGGAGGCTGAGGCACATGAATTCCTTGAACCAGGGATGTGGAGGTTGAAGTGAGCCCAGATTGCACCACTGCACTCCAGCCCAGGCGACAGAGTGAGACTCTGTCTCAAAAAACAAAAACAAACAAAAAAGGAAATACTGACCTGGATTGACCTGGAATGATGGTCTTGTCTACAGTGATCACTGACAAAGACTCTTCCTGTTATATATTGTCTAATAAATTCTACTTTTAAAAGGTTTTTTTCCCACTAAATTATAATAATGAATAATAATTTATTATTCATTATTAACAAAAAAGATAATCTAGTGATTCTCAAACTTCAGTGTGGACCAGAATAATCTAGAGGGTTTTTTAAAACTCAGACTTCTGGTCCTACCCCCAGAGCCTCTAATTCAATGGATATGGAGGGGCCCTAGAATCTGCCTTTCTAACATGTTGCCTGTTGATGCTGACGATGGCTGGTCTGGGGACCAAACTTTGGGAACTGAATCAACTGAAAGAATTAATTGAAGAAATTTTTAAAAATCCTATCAGAGTTTATAATCTATACGCAAAAAGCATTACAAGGAATTTCTCTATTTTCAACAAAAACAAAAAAATTGAAAATAATCACTTGATCCCCATTATTAATACTATGCTCCGAGACCCACAGGGTCCAGCAATCCTATCAACAGCTTAACAGAGTCTTTCTAACTCTACCATGGTGTGATAATGAGTTCATCTAAACCTTAAATTCTACTGATCCTTCAAAAACCAGTTACTGCTGTTCTGCAGCTGACCAGATGATGTCACTATAGAACAAGACAATCTATTTCCCGAGGCACACAGGAGACTGCCTCAGTATTTTTGAGTCTCAGCACCATGACTACCCAGCTGTTCCTTTAAACATCAAATCGGTGTTTTCTACAGCAAAAGGTGAAATGAAATGTTAGTAATGTATCAGCAAAACCTTCAAGTCTTTCACCCCCAGACTGTTACTGAGAAAGATTTAGAAATACCAGACTTACGATTTATAGAACAGACTATATGGGGGATTAGTAGCCAGCAGCTGAGTAATGACAGATATAATCACAATCACAAGAACTGGAAGTAGCTGAATAAATGCAGAATATGTAGTCTGAAAAAGAAAAAAAAATAAAAACTTGCTGTAAGTGTTCTTTTTTTTTTTTCTGTCGCCCAGGCTGGAGTGCAGTGGTGCGATCTCGGCTCACTGCAAGCTCCGCCTCTCGGGTTCACGCCATTCTCCTGCCTCAGCCTCCCGAGTAGCTGGGACTACAGGCACCCGCCACCACGCCCGGCTTAGTTTTTGTATTTTTAGTAGAGACAGGGTTTCACCGCAGCCAGGATGGTCTCGATCTCCTGACCTCGTGATCTGCCCACCTCGGCCTCCCAGAGTGCTGGGATTACAGGTGTGAGCCACTGCGCCTGGCCTGTAAGTGTTCTTTATCAATATAAAGCTTATTGAAAATAAGATAGTTGCTCCAAAGAAAATAACAAATTATCAATGCACTGCATAGGAGGATCCACAAAGCCCCAGGCTTTTCTGGGAAGGCTGTACTTTCAGCTGAGAAGTACAGGTTGGGCAGTCCTAATCAGAAAATTCAAAATCACAAATGCTCCAAAATCTAGAACTTTTTGAGTACCAGGATGACACTTAAAGGAAATGCTCATTGGAGCATTTTGGATTTCCTTTTTTTTTTTTTTTCTGAGACATGGTCTTGCTCTGTCACCCAGGCTAGAGTACAGTGACACAAACATGGCTCACTGCAGCCTTGACCTCCTGGGTTCTGATGATTCTCTCGCCTCAGCCTCCTGAGAAGCTGGGACCACAGGTGCACACCACCGTGTCCAGCTAATTTTTAAATTTTTGTAGAGACAAGGTCTTGCCATGTTGCCCAGGCTAATCTCAAACTCCTAGGCTCAAGCAATTCTCCTGCCTCAGTTCCCCCAAAGTGTTAGGATTACAGGTGTGAGCCATAGCACCCAGCCTCAGATTTTCAGATTAGGAATTGTCAAATATATAATGGTATAATGCAAATTTCCAAAATCCAAAAAAAAAAAAAAATCTGAAATCTGAAATACTACTGGTCCAATTTACTTCAGATAAGGGATACTCAATCTATACCAAATAACCTTTACTCTCTCTGCTGAGCAGGCTGAAGGAGGTCCAACAACAACCTGGATTGACACCCAGTAATCCCCCTGCAGCCCCATTAATAAGACCAATGAAGCAAACATCTCTAGGTAAACCTGCCCAGACTGTGCCTCTTACAGTAGTGGGGCTCTAGGAGCCAGGTTAGCATCATGCTTGGCCACAGCTGATTGGACTCAGGGGACATCCAACTCTGGCAGAGGTAATCACGTTTTCTCTCCTAGGAATTTGGGGTTGAAACTCATCACCCTTCACTTCTGGGTCATCACTTTAAGGAAGAACACACACTCTCAGGCACTGTAGACTGGCTATTTGCAAGGGGAAGTAGAACAAGCAAAGCTGCTTGGTGAAAACAAAACAGAGGCAAAGAGTGGCAGGAAAACTGGAGACAATCTGGGCCCAAAGAGTCCTGCAGAGCACAGCTGCTTGGGAGCCTGACAGTATCCCAGTTCCTTGTTCCTGTCTGTCATGAGGCCCAGCTGTGCTTCTTGTCCTTGAGCTTCATGAGACTCTTTTGATCCCTTACCTTAAACCCCCTTTAGTTCTAAATATTTTGAAGAGGATTCCTATTTTCTGCAGCCAAGAAAATTATGAAGCCGGAGCGGTGGCTCATGCCTGTAATCCTAGCACTTTGGGAAGCCAAGGCAGGAGGATCACTTGAGCCCAGGAGTTTGTGACCAGCCTGGGAAACATGGTGAGAAATAATCTCTACAAAAAATGAGCTGGGCATGGTGGCACGCACCTATAGTCCCAGCTACATGAGAGGCTGAGGTGGGAGGATTGGTTGAGCCCTGGAGTTTGAGGCTGTAGTGAGCTGTGTTTCTACTATTGTACTCCGGCCTGAGTGACAGTGAGACCCTCTCTCAAAAAAAAAAAAAAAAAAAAAAAAAAAAAAAAAGCCTTGATGAAGTCAGCCCCACAGATTGCTGAGATTCTGGGAGAGCCACCCAAGAATGGGCAGAGGGAGGGGATACCATTCTGCCTATTTAGGCCAATTTTCCAGCTCTTCTAACCATTGCTTTTGCTTTCCTAAAGCACATCTTTCCTAAAGCAACATATCTCAGGTTCAACTTCTAAAACTTGACCATGTACCATCAAGGTTGGCCAAGTACAACTGTTTATGGGCAGCAGTGCTCCTCCCTCCCTAGGTACCTGAGGTTTCTCTTCTTCCTCCTCCTTCTGAGTCTGTGTCCTCTCATGTCGGTGCCGTCGACGGTAATAGTAAGTGTCATCTGTCACATTTGAAAACATATGAATATTTCCTGGAAAAGAAATACATGGTATGGGATATGGCAAACACTCCTTCCCTGCCTTTTTCTTTTTTTTTTGGAGATGGAGTTTTGCTCTGTTACCCAGACTGGAGTGCAATGGGGTGATCTCGGCTCACTGCAACCTCTGCTTCCTGGGTTCAAGCGATTCTCCTGCCTCAGCATCCTCAGTAGCTGGGATTACAGGCACCCGCCACCATGCCTGGCTAACTTTTGTATTTTTAGTAGAGATGGGGTTTCACCATGTTGGCCAGGCTGGTCTCGAACTCTTGAACTCAAGTGATCCACCTACCTTGGCCTCCCAAAGTGTTGGGATTACAGGCGTAAGCTACCGCGCCTGACCCTTCCTTGCCTTTTTCAAGGTCCTTGTTCCCAGCTAGGTTTGTTAAGGATAGAGTATTGGCCTATTTTACCCAGTAGAAAAATAAGACAATAGGCAAGCCAAGTGAACCAGCTGGAGCTAAAGCGTGCTGAGCTCTCCTGACTTCATTTAAATAGTCCTTTGCAACTAGTGAGAGAGAACCCCGAAAGGCTAGAAGAGAGAGAGCATTAGGGCCGTGAATCCTATCTGGCATGTTCACGTCTGCTTCCGTGCCCAATACCATATTGTGTCACTGGTATCTTTTAATAGCAACTCATAAAATTCAATTTACTTCCTGGGCATTGAATTATACCAACTTCCAACTTGCTGGGGGGTACTTTCCTATCTTCTATCTTTGTAAGTGCTATTTTACACAACAATAATAGGCATTTTGTTACTTATTTATAAGGCACTTAAAAATATCTAATCCTCACAGTGACCCTGTGAAGTAGGTATTATTAACAGCCCCATTTTTCAGGAGAGGAAACAGGGTCAGAGAGACTAAATGATTTGGTCAAAATTATGCACAGCTGGGGGCTGGAGACTTGCCTCAAACTCCTGCTCAACTGATTCTAGATCCTTGCTGTTTCCATCATACCATTGTACCTCTATTCAGATTTTCAAACAGGAGCTTGCTGAGAGCCATAAATAAAGAAATATGTTTAAGAATGATAATTTGGGGAGACTAACCTGTAGGAAAATGTCCTCCAAAGAAGACGTTGAACAGCTCTTCTGGAGTGATGTCAGCTTCAAAATCCCTGTAATAATTATAAGGTCTGGCTCGAGGGGCAGTGAAAGTCACCTGTTCATCTCCGTATTCATCATAGCGAAGTCTCTTATCAGGATTGCTCAGGACTGCAAATGCATTTCCTATTGCTGCAACCAACAAGAACCAGCACATGAGGACACAGTCTTTGCTATGGCTGAGAGTGATCACAGCAGCAGTGACAAAGAGCCTAGAGGTGACTCGTGCTGGACAACTTCGCAGGGGCCCAAGAAGAGATGCTTGGGCCTAGAAAGTTCTCCACAGTGCTTGCCCTTCAGGTTTTCCCTGATCGCCAGAAACAACAACATTGGAATCACAGGAATTAAGAACTTCTGCTGCAGTGAGTTAACTCCCAATCAACAGTCCTGTAGTCATCCCAGCTGTCCTAGAAGTTAGGAAGCCCCCCTCAGTTCGGGTTCCCAGTCACCACAAGTCCCAGGCATGTTGGGGAAATGTTCTCCAACTGGTCAGCACTCTCATTCATAAAAAATGTGTTCTGGCCAGGTGCAGTGGCTCATGCCTATAATCCCAGCACTTTGGGAGGTTGCAGTGAGCCGAGATCATGCCACTGCCTTCCAGGCTGGGCAACAGAGTGAGACTTTGTCACACACACACACACACAAAGAGTGCTCTTTACTTTAAAAAAAATTTTTTTAGAGATAGGGTCTTGCTGCATTGCCCAGACTAGTCTCAGATTCCTGGCCTCTAGTGATCCTCTCACCTTGGCCTCCAAAAGTTTGGGATTATAGGTGTGAGCCCTGCATCTGGCCAAAAAAGTGTTCTTATTTCACTTGAGTGCAATAGTTTATGTTGGAAACAGTTCACACATCAGTAGTGATATTTTAACTTGTAGTCCAAAAAATTTCCTGAATTCTCTTCTGAAACAATCTTAGTAGAAACCTTCCTGCTTGACTAAAAACAAAGTCTTCATCATAGTCTTATTTCAGTTTACTTTAGACAAATATTTTCTGAAATTAAGAAATGTATTTCCAATGTCTCAAGGAGGGTTCAAAGGCTGAATAGTTACATATGTTTACCAACATGTCTCCTTTCTATGTACAGACGTGCAAACCTTGCCCAATTTCATTTAAACATACAATCCGTAGCACCAATCAATAGAAACCTCAAAAAAAAGAAATCTTTTAAGGCATCCCGCACTCCCTACCTGTAATTCAGTCAACACTGTCAGAAACACAGAAAGAGTATTTCTTCATGATTCTTTTACCTGGGGAATTGTTAAATGTTTGCCTTGCCACTCTGTTACCTACAACTCTATATATACATATGTACATATGTATTGTAATAATTATACATTTATTTTGCTGAACCATTTGAAAATAGGCCACAGATATTACGTCACCTTGCCCCTAAATACCTCAACATATATCTCCCAAGAAGAAAGACATTCTCCTATGTGATCACAACACCATTATCACAGCTAAGAAAATTAACATCAGTCCATTATCATCCAATGCATCCATGCAAGATCAAGTATAGCATTTAGTTTCTTTTAAGCTAAAACTGTCCCACCTTTTTTGTTTTTCATTATGTTAAATTTTTTGGAAGAACAGATCAGTATTCTTGTAGAATGTTTCATATTGATTGTTTCCTCATTATTAGATTCAGGTCAAACATTTTGGCAAGAATACCCCATAGGCGACAACTACCTAGCACTCAATGGTTTTAGCATTCACTGAAGATCTTTGCCTGTAACAATGACTTGGAGTGCAGTGGTGCAATCACAGCTCACTGCAGCCTTGACCTCTGGCTCAAGCAATCCTCCCACCTCAGCCTCCCAAAGTGCTAGGATTACAGGTGTGAGCCACTGCGCTCAGCCTGAAGAATATATTTCTTAAAATATCATGGAGGATGGGCACAGTGGCTCACGCCTGTAATATCAGCACTTTGGAAGGCCTAGGCGGGCAGATTACTTGAGCTCAGGAGTTTGAGATCAGCCAGAGCAACATGGCAAAACCCCATCTCCACAAAACATACAAAAATTAGCCGGGCATGGTGGTGCTCACCTGTAGTCCCAGCTACTCAGGAGGCTGAGGTGGGAGGATCACTTGAGCCCGGGAGGTGGAGGTTGCAGTGAGCTGAGATGTCACCACTGCACTCCAGCCTAGGTAAAATCAAGTGGGAGCTATGCTGATTATCACTATTTAAGAGGTGTGGCAGGGGGAAAAAACCCTCCTTATGGCCTTATAAAACAACTATGGGGAAGGCTAAAAGCAACTTATTATGACCAACCATGACAAGGGCACCATTGAGCATTGGTTCAGGATCAGACCTTTGAAAGCATCTGTTGCTCCAGGAGCACAGTTCTTGTCAGGGTGAAATTTCAGGGCGAGTTTTCTGTAAGCTTTCTTAAGCTCTTCGTCACTAGCATCTCGAGAAACTCCCAGAATTTCATAGTAATTTCTGCATTTCTTGATCCTAAAAAAAATCACAAGCATGTATGTCTATAAAGGTCCCTTTTGTACAACTAATTGCAAGATAATACATCGATC
Organism: Homo sapiens; assembly: GCF_000001405.40. Taxonomy (NCBI): domain Eukaryota; kingdom Metazoa; phylum Chordata; class Mammalia; order Primates; family Hominidae; genus Homo; species Homo sapiens. Next base: position 19,287 of record NW_021159996.1, read on the forward strand.
CTACCTCCAATCTGTGGGACCCAAAACAAACCTATAAGAAAATTAGTGCACACGTTAATGAAACATTCAAATTCATTAACAATGTCCTTCTCCCACCCAGAACTTAATGCCTTTCAAAGTACTTTTACATCTACTATTTACTCTTCCTATATCCCTGCAAGTGAGTAGAACAAGTATGCTAATTGTTACACCAAGGTTCAGGCTAAGATCCTGAGAGATGAACTACAGGACAGCAAAGCCAGAAGAAACAGTTAATCACCCTGTTTGTTTATAATTTTTTCTCTCTTTTTCCTATGGCTATCTTTTTAAACTGTATTTTTTGCTTTTTTTTTTTTTTTTTTTTGAGACGTAGTCTTGCTCTTGTTGCCTGGGCTGGAGTGCAATGGCGCGATCTCAGCTCACTGCAACCTCTGCCTCCCAGGTTCAAGCAATTCTCCTGCCTCAGCCTCCCGAGTAGCTGAGATTACAGGGATGCGCCACCAGCCCTGGCTAATGTTGGTATTTTTAGTAGAGATGGGGTTTCACCATATTGGTTAGGCTGGTCTCAAACTCCTGACCTTGTGATCTGCCCACCTTGGCCTCCCAAAGTGCTGGGATTACAGGTGTGAGCCACCGTGCCTGGCTAAACTGTGTTTTTAAAAAGTTAACATACACATGATAGAAGAAAAAGAGCCAACAGAACTAAAGTTTATACAGTAAAAATTTTCCTGCTTCATCATTCCCTGTCCCCCAGTTTCCCACCACAGGGATAACCATCATTAGAAGTTTTCTGTGGATCCTATGTACAGAGAGTACAGGTATAGTCCTCTCCATTTTTTTTCTTGCCTAAATGGAAACATATTATAATCACTTTTCTACATCTTGCTTTAAAAAAAAATTATTTTGGGCTGGGCGTGGTGGCTCACTCTTGTAATACCAGTGCTTTGGGAGGCTGAGGCAGGAGGACTGCTTGAGGTGAAGAGCTTGAGGCCAGCCTGGGCAGGATGGTAAGACCCTATCTCTATGAAAAATTTTAAAAAGTTAGCCAGGCATGGTGCCTTGCATCTGGAATTCCAGCTACTCAGGAGGCCAAGGCAGGTGGATCACTTAAGCCCAGGAGTTTGAGGCTGCAGTGAGTTATGATTGTTCCACTACACTCTAGCCTGGGCAACAGAGCATGATCCTGTCTCTAAAAAACAAACAAAAAACAATTTATCTTGGAGATCAATCCTTAACATATAGAGATGAGAAGTATAGAATAATAGTTTAGACTAGACAGTAGTTTAGATTAGAGTGGCAGTTCTGAACTTTTGATCTCAGCAACGTTTTATACTCTTAAAAATTACTGATATGCATGGTACAGGAAGCGAAAAAAAATTACTGAAGACCTCAAAAGAGCTTTCATTTATATGACTTCTATCAATCCACATCTACTATACCAGAAATGAAAACAAAAAATTTTTAAACAGTGATGATGTAATTACATGTCATGTAGCCTCTCAAAAACTCCACTGTATAATCATGAGAAAATTAGTGAAAAAGACAAGTAACATGTTTATATCATTATGACTACAGTTTTAAACTTGCAGACCTATCCCCTAAAAGGGTCTTGGGGTTCCCCAACCACCCTTTGAGAACTGCTGGATTAGAGATGAGCTCTGGAGTCAAAATGCCTTGGTTTAGCTTTGATTTTGCTGTGTACTTAACCTCTATAGCTTGGTGTTATCTTCTGAAATGGGCTAATAATTATATTTCACAGAGTTGATATTGTGATTAAATAAAGTCTTCATCAAAGTGCTTGAGAGCATTTAATACTAAATAAATATTACCTAGTACTATATATCTACCTCTTTTTTTTTTTTTTGAGACAGAGCCCAGGCTGGAGTGCAGTGGCGCGATCCTGGCTCACTGCAACCTCTGCCTTCTGGGTTCAAGTGATTCTCCTGCCTCAGCCTCCCGAGTAGCTGTGACTACAGGCTTGCATCACCACACCCAGCTAGTTTTTTGTATTTTTAGTAGAGACAGGGTTTCACTGTATTGGCCAGGCTGGTCTCGAACTCTTGACCTCAAGTGATCCACCTGCCTTGGCCTCCTAAAGTGCTGGGATTACAGGCATGAGCCACCACGCCTGGCCTACCTCATTCTTTTTAAAATCTAAATATTATTGCATTGTATCAATGTATAATATATACATTACCTACTAATTTGTATTGAGAAGGTCTTCAGTCTTTTGCTACTATATAATTCAGTAAGGCAGGCAGAGATTCGGAGCTTCGTTGGGAAATTCATCGTAAGTCAGTAACACAGGTTGGACTCTAATGCAGGGTCTGGGCTGTCAGCAGATCCCTTCCACATGAGCTGCCCATGGGGAGTCTTTGAATCCCCAGCCCAGTTTCCAATCTCTGCTTCCATGGCAGACACTCAGGACTCCCTCTCCTAAATTTACTATTTGTTTAATAATGCTTTATTGAGAAATAATCCACGTACCATAAAGTTCACCCTTTTAAAATGTACAATTCATTAGTTTTTAAATACATTTTTAGAGGTGTGCATCTATCACCACTATCTCATTTCAGGACATTTTTATCACCCCAAAAAGAAACTCTATACTCCTTAGTAGTCACTCCCACTTCTCCCCCAGCCCCTGGGACCCACTAATCTACTTTCCCCTCTATAGATTTGCTTATTCTGAATATTTTACATAAAAGGAGTTATATAACATGTAGCTTTTTGTATCTGGCTTCTTTCACTTACTGTAATTTTTTCAAGGTTCATCCATGTTGTAGCATGAATCTGTTCATCCCTTTTTGTTACAAAATAGTATTTCATTGTATGGATATACACCATGTTGCTTGTCCATTATCAGTTAATGGACATTGGGTTGTTTCCCCTTTGGGGTCGTTATGAATAATATTGCTATGGACATTCATGTACAAGTTTTTTTGTGGAAGTATATTTATATTTCTCTTGGAATATACTAGGAGTAGATTGCTAGGTCAATAATCTTAATTTTCTTCTGAACCTTAAGAGGAATTGCCATATTGTTTTCCAAACTGGCTGCATTCCTACCAGCAATGTACAAAGGTTCCAATTTATCTGCTTCTTTATAAACACTTATCATCCACCTTTTTGACTATAGACATTCCAGTGGGTATATCTCATTGTGGTTTTGATTTGCATTTCCCTAATGACTAAAGATGTTGAACAAGTTTACATATGCTTACTAACCATATATATATCTTCTTTATTCATATATGGAGGAATATATAGGAGGAATGCCTATTCAGACCCTTTGCCCATTTTTCCAATTGGGTTATTTGTCTTCTTATTGTTGAGTTTTAAGAGAACTTTGTACGTTCCAGATAAAGTCCCTTATCAGATATACAGTTTTTAAATGTTTTCTCCCATTCTGTGGGTTGACTTTTCACATTCTTTTTTTTTTTTTGAGATAGAGTTTCACTCTTGTCATCTAGGCTGGAGTGCGATGGCATGTTTTCGACTCACTGCAACCTCCTCCTCCCAGGTTCAAGCAATTCTCCTGCCTCAGACTCCCGAGTAGCTGGGATTATAGGCACCTGCCACCACACCCAGCTAATTTTTGTATTTTTAGTAGAGACGGGGTTTCACCATGTTGGCCAGGATGGTCTTGAACTCCTGACCTTGTGATCCACCTGCCTTGGCCTCCCAAAGTGCTGGGATTACAGGCGTGAGCCACCGCGCCTGGCCACAGAACTTTATTTTTTTTTAGAGACAGGGTAGGGTCCCTGTCACCCAGGCTGGAGTGCAGTGGCACGATCATAGCTCACTGCAGCCTCCAACTCCTGGGCTCAAGTAATTCTCCTGCCTCAGCCTCCCAAGTAGCTGAGACTACAGGCATGCACCATAACCCTGAGTTAATCCAAAAGAACTTTTTAAAGGCAGTCCCTTAATGGCAAAGTACTTCCTGACTTCACGAAGAAAATATCAATGGAGCCAGTCCAGAAAAAGGGCTCTCAGTGCCCAGGCCTTCTTGCTGTACAACCAAAAGGCTGGCAGCTGGTGTTCATCTTTTCCATTCAAGGCTCAGGGGTTAGCAACTTTATATATAATGGCAGCCCCCATCATAAACTGAACTGCATTTGCACAAAATAGCAGAGTTAGCCTATCCCTTCCTGCCTTATATCCTGATGCTCACTTCTCATCCTTACTAGTACAATGTCCTTTGTGACATTTCTTTTCCAGAATAGGGCACTTTTGTCTGCACTAAAAAGTTGATGAGGTAGGGCTGGCCGCAGGGTTCACACCTGTAATCCCAGCACTTTGAGAGACTGAGGTGAGTGGAAGCCTTGAGCTCAGGCATGCGATAAGTAATAATCACATCATGGACTGTATGCCTTTCTTATAGCAGTCCTGCACCCATATAAAAGCTTCATTTTCAATATGAGATGAAAAGGTATTTTGCAAAAAGTGCAATGTTTTCTTACCTGCTGGCATTAAGTGCAGGTGGATCACAAGGCCAGGAGTTTAAGACCAGCCTGGCTAACATGGTGAAACCCCATCTCTACTAAAAATACAAAAATTAGCTGGGCATGATGGTGGGCGCCTGTAATCCCAGCTACTTGGGAGGCTGAGGCAGGACAATCGCTTGAACCTGGGAGGTGGAGGTTGCAGTGAGCCAAGATCGTGCCACTGCACTCCGGCTTGGGCGACAAGAGCAAAACTCCATCTCAAAAAAAAAAAAAAACAAAACTGGAGAACTGCAAGAGATCACTTTTTACTGCTATACATAATTTACTCAAGAGACAAACTGCTCACAAAGAGATGATTAGCATCATGTGGCATTTTAAGCAGATACTCCCAATACTTGAGGCTCAGCAAAATAACAGGAGCTAACTACAAAATTATTACAGTAGTACAGTACTACTGTTAATTTTATGCAGGTGTGATTAATACTGCACCTGTATGTTTACATTTTTCTCAAATGCAAATGGTACCATGTAGTCTCAAGTGTTTGTGAGCATATGTTTTGATAGATTTTCACTTTTTATAATAGATTTGTGTATATTTTATGATAGTAAATGATAAAATAGACTAGAATCTAGATATATTTTATGCATTCATATAATTTTCTTAATTTTTTGGTATGTCCATGCTCCATGGTTTGTGAGATGGTGATGATGATGATTATTATTTGAGACAGAGTTTCGCTCTTGTTGCCCAGGCTGGAGTGCAATGGCACAATCACAGCTCACTGCAACCTCTGCCTTCTGGGTTCAAACAATTCTCCCGCCTCAGCCTCCCAAGTAGCTGGGATTACAGGTGTGCGCCACCACGCCTGACTAGTTTTGTATTTTTAGTAGAGACGGAGTTTTGCCGTGTTGCCCAGGCTGGTCTCAAACTTCTGAGCCCAAGTATTCTTCCTGCCTTGGCCTCCTAAAGTGCTGAGATTACAGATGTGAGCCACTTTTTCAAATTGTTGCAAATCTAAAAAATTTTTCCAATGTATTTATCTTTTAAAATTGACATATAAAAATCCATGGTTCAAACTGATGCCACTCAAACCTGTGTTGTTCAAAGGCCAACTGTATCTCTTTTTTAAAACTATTTATTTATTTATTTGTATATAGAGACAGGGTCTTGCTTTGTCACCCAGGCTGGATTGCAGTAGGGTGATCATAGCTCACCTCAGCCTCGAACTCCTGGGCTCAAGGGATCCACCTACCTCAGCCTTCTGAGTAGCTGGGATTTTGGGTGCATGCCACCACACCTGGCTAAATTTTTATTTTTAGTAGAGACAGGGCCTCGCTATGTCGCTCAGGCTCGTCTTGAACTCCTAGCTTCAAGAGATCCTCCTATCTCAGCCTCCCAAAGTTTTGAATTACAGGCATGAGCCACCACACCCAGCCTCAACTATATTTTCTTAATTTCATTTTTTTATTGTTCATTGCTAGTATATAGAAAAATGATAATTTTTGTATATTGATCTTATATCCTGTAACTTTGTCCAACTTGTTTATTAGTTCTAACAGTATTTGTGTGTGTGTGTGTGTGTGTATTCATTAGGATTTTCCATTTACAAGATCATGTCATCTGTGGATGTAGTTTTACTCTTCTTTCCAATTTGGATGGCTTTTATTTCTTTTTCTTGCTTAAATGCCCTGGCTTGACCCTCTAGTACAATGTTGAACAGAGTGGCAAGAGTGAACAGACATACTTGTCTTGTTCCTGATCTTGGTGGGAAAACACCTAGTTGTTCACCTTTAAGTATGATGTTAACTGTGGATTTCTGTAGATGGACTTTATCAGGTCGAGGAAGTTCCCTTCTATTCCTAGTTAAGTGTTTTTATTATGAAAGAGTGTTGGGGCTGGGCGCAGTGGCTCACACCTGTAATCCCAGCACTTTGGGAGGCCGAGGCGGGCAGATCACAAGGTCACGAGACCATCCTGGCCAACATGGTGAAACCCCGTCTCTACTAAAAATACAAAAATTAGCTAGGCATGGTGGTGCGCGTCTGTAGTCACAGCTACTCAGGAAGCTGAGGCCAGAGAATCGCTTGAACCTGGGAGGCAGGGGTTGCAGTGAGCCGAGATCGTGGCATTGCACTCCAGCCTGGGTGACAGAGCAAGAATCCGTCTCAAAAAAAAAAGAGTGTTGGATTTTGTTAAATGCTTTTTCTGTACCTATTGAAATGATCGTGTGATTTTTGTCCTTTATTCTATTAACATGGTATGTTACATTGATTGACTTGTGTGTGTTAAACAATCCTGCAATACTGGGATAAATCCCACTTGGTGAAAATATATAATACTTTTTACATTGCTGTATTTGTTTTACTAGTATTTTATTGAATATTTTAAAATCTATATCCATAAGGGATATTGGTTGATAATTTAGACTTCTTATGATATTTTTGTCTGGTTTTGGTTACAGAGTTAATACTGGTCTCAAAGAATGAAGCCAGCTGGGCCTGGACTTTTCTTCATTGGAAGTTTTTTTTTTTTTTTTTTTTTTTTTTTCAGACAAGGTCTCCCTCTGTCACCCAGACTAGAGTGCAGTGGTGCTCACTGTAGCCTCGCCCTTCCTGGCTCCATCAATCCTCCTACCTCAGCCTCCTGAGCAGCTGGAACTGCAGGTGTGCACCACCATGCTCGGCTAATTTTTGTGGGGTCTTTTTGTTTGTTTTTTATTGTACTAATGAAGTTTCGCCATGTTGGCCAGGCTGGTCTTGAACTCCTGGGCTCAAGTGATCCTCCCACCTCAGCCTCCCAAAGTAATGGGATTACAGGCATGAGTCACCATGTCCAGCTAGAATTTTTTTGATTGTTAATTAAATCACCTTATTTGTTGTAGGTCTACTTGGGTTTTCCTTTTTTTTTTCTTTTTCTTTTTTGGAAATAAGGTCTCTGTCACCGAAGCTGCAATGCAGTGGCACTACCATAGCTTACTGTAACCTCAGATTCCTAGGCTCAAGTGATTCTCCTGCTTCAGTCTCCAAAGTAGCTGGGACCACAGGCATGTGCCACCATGCCCAAGTATTTTTTTTTTCTTTTTTTAGAGATAATGTATTGCTGTGTTGCCCAGGCTGGTCTCAAACTCCTGGTCTCAAGCAATCCTCCTGCCTCAGCACCCCCAAAGCTCTGGGATTACAGGTGTGACCCACCATGCCTGGCCTCCATTTTTCTTGGGTCAGTTTCAGTAATTTGTGTCTTTCTAGGCATTTGCTGATTTTATCTAGGTTATCTAATTTGTTGGCACACAATTGTTCATAGTATTTGGATTGGTAGGGATATCCCTCTTTCTTTTTTTTTTTTTTTTTTTTTTTTGAGAGACAGGGTCTTGCTCTGCTGTGCGATTATGACTCACTGTAGCTTCAACCTACTGGGTTCAAGCAATCCTCCTGCCTCAGCCTCTCAAGTAGCTGGGACTACAGGTTGGTGCCATCATACCAAGCTAATTTTTGTATATATATATTTTTTGGAAGAGAGGGGGTTTCACTGTATTGTCCAGGCTGTCTAGTTCCTTAAGGTAGATTAGGTTACTGATTTGGAGTCTTTTTTAAAAAAATAAGCATTTAGAGCTATAAATTTCCTTCTAAGCACTGTTTTAGCTGCATCCTATACATTTTAGTACGTCGTGTTTTCATTTTCACTCATCTCAAAGCATTTTCTAGCTTTCCTAGTGATTTATTCTGTGACTTGCTTGCTTATTAGGAGCTTGTAGTTTAATTTCCACATATTTGTGAATTTCTCAAATTTCCCTTTGTTTTTGATTTCAGAGAACATACACTGTATGATTTCAATCTTTTTAAATTTATTGAGGCTTGTTTTATGACCTAAGATATGGTCTATCCTGGAGAATATTCTATGTATCCTTAAGAAGAAAATCGTTCTGTTGTTGTTGAAAGAATGTCCTGTAGATGTGTGTTGTGTCTAGTCGGTTTCTGCTGCCTCTCTTAAAGTAGAAGCAGGGTAGTCAGTTCATGTTATACCCTAATATTCCACTTCTATTCAGTCTTCCCTCTGAGGTCAAGAAGCTAGTATGCCTCAATTATCATCATCATCATCATTATCATCAGTCAATACTTACATAGCACATCCAGGCACTCTTCTAAGCACTTTCCATAAAATCACTCATTTAATCTCACCACATGCTCACCTTTGTACCCCAAGCAGCTGTTCCTCACTATACGTGGAGTTCCCCTCACCCTGCCGGGTCTGAGTCCACTCATTCTCAGACTTCTTTTCCTTTTGTGCCTTCATGCAGTTACAGCAGCCACAGGGGTCATGACTCTCAGGAGGTGTGTCTTCTGGGTATTTGTTTCTTCTAACTGCGTCAATGTAAGCTGCAAACAACAGCCCCTCCATTAGGTCTCCATCTGACCCTGAAAATCAACTTTGCAACCTGCCTTTCCTCTCTGGGAGGCTGCTCGTAAGCATGAGAAGGTAAGCATGATGGCCAGGGCTAGAGGCGTCATGCTGACTTTTAAGCACTCATACAAAGCTGAATAAACATGTTTCTCTGTGGTCCGTGGTCAGAAGAGACACTGCTCGTAAAATAGTATTTTTTGTTGCAGTGCCTCCCACCCCTAAAATTTAAAGTAGAGAGGAGTTCAATTCTTTTACACTAACAATTATAGAACTAATATATACCAAGGAACTTGGCTAGAAGATCAAGAGGGCGGATGGGTAAGATCTACTCCTGACCACAAAGAGGTTAGTTTAATGCAAGCTTGTCCAACCCGCGGCCCACAGGTGGCATGTGGCCCAGCACGGCTTTGAGCTCAATACAAATTCGTAAACTTTCTTAGAACATTATGAGGGCCGGGCGCGGTGGCTCACGCCTGTAATCCCAGCACTTTGGGAGGCCAAGGCGGGCGGATCACGAGGTCAGGAGATCGAGACCATCCTGGCTAACACCGTGAAACTCCGTCTCTACTAAAAATACAACAAATTAGCCGGGCGTGGTGGCAGGCGCCTGTAGTCCCAGCTACTCGGGAGGCTGAGGCAGGAGAATGGCGTGAACCCGGGAGGCGGAGGTTGCAGTGAGCCGAGATCGCGCTACTGCACTCCAGCCTGGGTGATAGAGCGAGACTCCGTCTCAAAAAAAAAAAAAAGAACATTATGAGATTTTTTTTTGCAATTTTTTTAAAGTTCATTAGCTGTCATCAGTTAGTTATTTAGTCGTCAGTTAGTGTATTTTATGTGTGGCCCAAGACAATTCTTCTTCCAATGTGGTCCAGGGAAGCCAAAAGATTGGATACCCCTGGTTTAAAGGGAGAAGATTCAATAACAACACCTGCAGAATGTAAAGAGGGTCATAAGCAATACAGTCAAAAGGGGCAGAGCACTCATGTCTTCTCTGGAGGACCTGAGAAAGGCTTTAACAACATCTTTCTTCCGCTTAACATCCCTCAGCTACCTCCACCCACTGCTCCTGGACAGTCTTCCTCTAAGTCGGCCTGGCTAACTCCGACGCATCCTTCTTGTCACCATTTGTAACACTTTCTGCAAGAAACCTCCCTTGACAGCCAGTCTGCGTTAGGTACCTTGTAAGTGTGCTCTCCAAATCCCTGACCTTGCTGTGTAGCCCAGGCGTTTTGTATTATTCGCCCGTTTTGTAATTGGCTGTTCAGTCGTCAAACTCTCTCAGTGGGCTGCGAGTTTTGTGAGCTAAGGGACCCATGTCAGTCAAATCCCCACTGCAGAATCAGCATTAGGCGGGGCACACAATAGGTATTGGATCAATATTTTTTGCCTGACTGTAGGGTGGAAAAGGCTGGTCCTGATGCCGGCTGGAGCGACATGATCAAACAGGGACTGAAGGTCAGGTGGCCCAGTTAGGCGAAAGATAAGGGCCAGGTTAGCAAGCTGCGGAGAGACCGCAGCACCCCACGGGCCCTCCAGTCACCTTGGCATGGGCGGGGCCTGACAGCTGCGGGCCCTGGGCGGGGCACGGGCGGGGGCGGGGCTGGGGGCCGGAGGCAACAAGTCGTCACCGGTGACTCTGGGCTCGCGGTCGGTCCCCAGCTTCCCTACCCCATCCGCAACCCTACTCAGGCTCAGCATCTTTTCACAGGCCTCTATCCATCACCTCAGACCCAGGATCTCAGCCCTTGTGCGTCTTCAGGATCCTCATCCCTGATCTCTCCCGAAGGCCGCCCTATCCCTCCTTCAGGCGGGGACCTAGTACCTTCCGTCCAGCGCTCCCCGCTGCCCAGAGTCGCCGCCATATCGGTTCCCAATCAGCAGGTCCGCCGAGCCTCCCCCGTGCCCGAGGCTGAAAGAGAAGGGGGCGCGGAGCGCGGGGCACGCTGGTCATTGTAGTCCAGTCCATATGAGCTCCCGGGGCACTGGACTACAACTCCCGGCAGGCTCTGCGCCAGAGGCCGTGGGAGACGCAGAGAAGTGCTCGACCTTCGTCAGGAGATCTGTGGAAGAGTGCTGCTGCCAGCTGCCAGCTGCCTGCAGCACGGCTCTTGGCTTTTCCTCATTTGTAGAGTTGGGATAGTGGCTTCGGCCCTGCCTAACCCTAGGGACATCCAAGGAGGGGCGACTGAAGTCCTGCCTGGAAAGGGCTTCGCAAACTATAGGCTAGAGGGTGACAGTATGACTATTATGCTCCTCAGGGATGTCTTTTTGAAGCATACGCTAATGCCTGTTCTGTGCAGTCAGTGGTAGGCCCTGGAGATTCAGAGATGGGTTTTGGGGATGCGGAACCCAGCCTTTGGAAGCTTGAGTCAGGAAAATAGAAAAGTGATGTAGATTTATGGGGTTGGAGGGCAATCTCAGTATGTCCCTACTGCCCCAGCTCCTCAGGCACTGGACATCAGAGGGTATCGGGGTGGAGAAAGAAGACATGGAAAGGTATTGGGGCCGGCATGAAGAGCCTCCATCTTTGCTGTTCCTGTCCTTCCTCCAACCCATCCTACTCCAACACCCCTCTGACACTTTTCTCCTCTCTTCCAGTCTAGTTATCTCTTTAGCCCATTCGTTTCTTTTCTGAAGGACCAGACATTGAGATTAGTAAAAAGGAAATGAGGAAATAAATATTCTTGCTGTTCCTCATCCAGGTATGGATGGAACCTAGCAAAGAATAAAAGCAACACTTTCTTCATAGGTGGATGGCTACAGTTCATCCCCAAACAAAAAATTACCCAGAATTAACTGAGGTCTTACCCAAGAAGACCAAATCAATCATGATATCAACTAGCACCTACTTAGGCAGTTGGGGAGAGATGTATATTCCTGGACATAAACTTGGAAGGGTAAAAGCACCAAAGGGCATGCAGTTCCAGCCCTTGCCTACAGTCATGGCCCTGGCATCACTGACATTATGCCCACTTAAGAACTCAGAGAACGGCCGGGCGCGGTGGCTTATGCCTGTAATCCCAACACTTTGGGAGGCCGCGGCAGGCGGATCGCGAGGTCAGGAGATCGAGACCATTCTGACCAACATGGTGAAACCCCGTCTCTACCAAAAATACAAAAATTAGCTGGGCATGGTGGCGTGTGCCTGTAGTCCCAGCTGCTCGGGAGGGAGGCTGAGGCAGGAGAATCGCTTGAACCCAGGGGGCGGAGGTTGTAGTGAGCCAAGATCGCGTCACTGCACTCCAGCCTGGGTGACAGAGTGAGACTCTGTCTCAGAAAAAAAACAAAAAACAAAACTCAGATAACAAGGCCTTTCAAGTGGAAAAAGCACTGGTCTAGAAGTTGTATAGGTGTTATATTAATAGCTGGGGTTTTGCCACAAATCATTGCGTGATCCTGAACATCTCCTTTTTCCTTCTTCTTTGGCCTCAGTCTCATCACCTATAAAACGAGAAGGTTGGATTCAATTAGTAGTTTTGTTTGTTTGCTTTTTGAGACAGAGTCTTACTCTGTCGCCAGGCTGGAGTGTAGTGGCATAATCTCGGCTCACTGCAACCTCTGACTCCCTGGTTCAAGCGATTCTCCTGCATCAGCCTCCCGAGTAGCCGGGACTACAGTCGCACGCCACCATGCCCAGCTAATTTTTGTATTTTTGGTAGAGACGGGATTTCACTATGTTGGCCAAGATGGCCTCAATCTCCTGACCTTGTGATCTGCCCGCCTCAGCCTCCCAAAGTGGTGTGATTACAGGCGTGAGCCACCGCACCCGGCCTCAATTAGCGGTTTTTAAATTGAGGAATCCTTAAGGCTTAATGTGCAGATGTCTCTGGAATCTTCTATTGAGGAGTGGGAGCGGGGAGGAAGGCATAGCAGGGAAGGCACTAGCACCTCACCCTTCTTCAATCAAAGAAGCTCTGTTTTTTTCTGTTTTGTATTTTGTGGTCTACTAAAGGAAAGAAAACCTACATGTTTGAAAACTACCAAACCAGTTGACCACTAAAGGCTTGTGTCATTTGTAATATCAGTTTCTCCTGGAGCACTTAAAGTCAGTGTTCTTCCCTCATCCCCACCCCCATAAGCACTGAGAAAGTAACAGTTGTCTAGAAATTTGGTCATTTTCACTTAATTTAGGAGGAGGAATTTAGCATAGTGGTTAAAAAATCTGCATAGGATTGCCGTAGGATATAGTAAGATAATGCTTGCAAAGCTTTTAGCACCTCATCTGGCATGTAGTATGTGTTTAATAAATGCTGACCACTGTTATAGACTGGCTCAGAGGAAGAGAAACCATTTTTTATAGTTTGACATTGTAAATTAGGAGCAAAGGGGTATATATGGGGTATATCATAAGGTCCTGGATATAACTAACTGGACCCCATTCCTGTCTATCTGGCAATCATTACCTGCAAATAAGACAAGAAGCAAAACACTACCAAAAAGGGCTGGGAAGTTGCTTGTCCATGTACCCTAACCCCTGAATCCAGCCACTAAAACTGGTGATTTTCTCCCTTTCAGAAACAGAAGAAGATGGCAAAAGTGAACTAGTATGAGAAGGTTTTGGGTCATCCTAAATCCAATGAATTATGGATGTCCTTAAACTTGAGAGGCAAAGGAGGCCCCAGAACCATGAGATGAGTCAAAAGCTCAGCTCTAGGACACTGGACCTATGACCAGCTAACTAATCCACGGAGCAGTGTACTCACAGAAAGCTGGATCCTGAAGGTCCTTCTTGTGCTCTGCAGCTGAGGGAACTGATCAGGGACATCCATCAGGTGGTTGAATATAAAAAGGAAGTTCTTCTGGTTTGGGGAGGCTAGACCGCCTGCTCTAGAAGATGGACAGCTGAGGGTGGGATAGACCTTGGAGTCCAGGGGCACAGGGAAAAGGTCTGGAGGTACTACCTGGAGATGTTAGAATACCATGAAGTCAGAGGTGTTTGGCTGAGAGTGGGCTGTTAGAGCACTGTAGGGGTTAACTGGATTGAGAGGAGCAACTATGAATTATGAGACTATCTAGGAGCAGAGCCTAGGTTCAAGAGTATTGGACAAGATTTGGGAAGCTGGGGCCTCTTCCCAAATCTTAGCTGCTGTCTGGTAGCTAAGCATCCTCTCTCCTCATGCTCTGAAACCTTACATCCCCTTCTTTTCCAGACTTCTTTTCATTTACTTCTAGAACAGTAACAAAAATGGTTTAGCATTATGACCTTCTCAAATATTGCCAAGTATCCACATGTATTCTTCAGTTTGTTTACACCTCAACTAACACTTCTGGATGAATTTTTTTTTTATGATCGCATCACTTGGACTAACGCGAAACTCTAAAGCTCAACATTAAGAATACTTCTGTGACAGTTTTTGCTTAAACTCATCAACTAGTCAGCAAAAATAATCCTCACTGTAAAGTTCAATTTCTGTGTTTTGTAAAAGAGGAAGCTGTGGGCCCAAAGAGTATAGGATGGAGATGCCAGTCGAAAAGGACCCACAGGAAAAGTGAGAGGGTAACTGGGAAGGAGATAAGGGAAGAGAAATTGGGGTCTCCAAGGCAGTTCTCAAAGAGAAGGAGGTAGATGTGGAAAGAAGTTTGACGAAGAGAGAAAGGAGGACATCCACAAACCCAGGAAAAGACTGGTGGACAGAATCACACAGTGTTTTCCAGCACATTCAAATTTAATAGAGTAGTACTAGCTGGGCTTGGGGAAATTGTGTGCCAGAACTAGGTCAAGGGGGCCTGCAATGATCCTTCATCTGCTAAACCATTTTACCTTAGGGCCAGCCTCAGATTTCTCTCAGTTTTCTCCACTTACTTTATTTTTTTGAGACAGGGTCTTATTCTGTTACACGGGCTGGAGTGCAGTGGCGCTATCACAACTCACTGTAGCCTTGATCTCTTGGGCTCAAGCGATCCTCCCACCTCAGCCTCCTGAGTAGCTGGGACCACAGGCACATGCCACTATGCCCACTATGCCTGGCTTTTTTTTTGTTTGTTTTTAAGATATGGGATCTCACTATATTACCCAGGCTGGTCTGGAACTCCTGGGTTCAAGCAATCCTGCCCCCGGGGACTTCCCAAGTGTTGGGATTAAGGCGCCTCCACTTACTTACATGTTGAACTGTAATGGATTCTTGCTGGTGATACTGAGGTCTGTCCTGTGCCCTATATGATTGAGATGCTGCCCCATCCAGCCCTAGAAGAAAGAAGCTGAGTAAATGATCCTCCTGTCCCACTGGGCCTGTGTGTCTGTGCTGGTTTATTGGTTGCCCTCCCATAGGATGAGGGAAAAAATGAGAGAAGGACATTCTGCAGCTAGCCCCCAATCCCCGCCACCTGTTCCTGTTTAAGGACCACGTAGTCCTGTGTGAGAAAAGGGAGGAAGTCATCTTGTAAACAATCATCATCCTGTTGTCTAGACATGAAGGAAGAGATAGGGTTTCAAGGAAGCTGCAAGGGCTGCAGAAGGCTGCACTCAGATTTCCTGTCAGAGGTGGCATCTTGGATTTGCATAAATAGTAGGCTCCTCCAGGAGAAACCTCTCTATTAGAGTTTGCTCCAGAGCAGAATTCAGCATTTAATTCATCCTCAACCCCTTCCCAAAGGATAGAGTTACTTAGCAACAGGAAAATCCACATGGCTTATGTGGTACTGCGGTGTCAGTGTCAGGGTAAAAGCCTTTCAATCTCAAAGATTATTAATACCAGTTGTCTCCCTCTTCCCCCACATATAAATACCTTATGACTAACAGCTTATATACGCAGGTCATTGCCCAGAGTCAGAGGAAAATGTGTGGTTTTATAATGAAGATGACAGCTGAGTTACTTAGAATGAAGCCCCATGTCCTTGACCTGATTAGTCCAGTATGATGAGCAGCTGTACTCAGTGCCCATGGCAGGCAGAATAACAACAGCACAAACAGAATCCTAGACATTGTTATGTCACCTGAGGGGTTCCATCCCAATGGTGGATGTTGGACCAGAAGTGGCTACTAAGTCATGTGCTGTTGGCTGTGAGATTTAAATCAAATATATATGAATTATTTAAAAAATACTAGCCAAGGCCGGGCATGGTGGCTCACACCTGTAATCCCACAACTTTGGAAGGCTGAGGTGGCCGGATCACCTGAGGTCAGGAGTTCGACACCAGCCTGCCCAATATGGTGAAATCCCATCTCTACTAAAAATACAAAATTAGCCAGGCGTGGTGGTGGGTACCTGTAATCCCAGCTACTCAGGAGGCTGAGGCAGGAGAATCACTTGAACCTGGGAGGCAGAGGTTGCAGCGAGTGGAGATCGTGCCATTGCACTCCAGCCTGGCAACAAGTGTGAAACTCCACCTCAAAAAACAAAAAACAAAAAACAAACAACTAACCAGGTGTGATGGCTCACACCTATAATCCCAGCACTTCGGGAGGCTGAGGGGGGAGGATGTCTTGAGCCCAGTAGTTTGTAACCAGCCTGAGCAACGTAGCAGGACCTCATTTCTACAAAAAATTTAAATAAATTAGCCGGTTGTGGTGGCACACGTCTATAGTCCCAGCTACTTGGGAGGCTGAGGCAGAAGGATCATTTGAGCCCAGGAGTTTGATGTTGCAGTGAGCTATCATTGTGCCATGCCACTGCACTCCAGCCTGGGAGGCAGAGCCAGACCCTGTCTTCTCTCCCCTCAAAAAATACTGCAGTATTGCTTTCGTAGGTTAGGTACCCCACAAAATAGACTCTGAGACGCTGAGATTTGCATACTAAAGGTTTCTTAGTGAGCACCCCTGGAACAACAGCTATGAGGAGTAAGGGAAGTAGGAATGGGGGCAAAGGAATTGAGGCAAGGGGTCCAGGTCTTCATTCCCACTCTTAGCCCCCATCAGCCAATCATCAACCAGCCAACAATCCCACAGCTGGGGAACAAGCGCCTTGATCCTGAAGTGGGACCTGGGTGCTGGTGCCCTACTCCAAGCTGTCTGCTACAATTGCTCACTTCCCAAGTATCTCCATGTTTATTATCCCATTTTACCTAGCCACTAGCCTGTGAGGTAGCCAGGGCCAGGTAGGGCGCATTCTTCCCTGTTAATACACAGGAGAAATGGAACTCCTGAGAATGTGAAAGGCTTGTCCAGAGCTGCCTGCAACTTGTCTCTGGCTCTCACCCAGAGTGATCTCTACTTAGCACATTGTATTCATTTTTTCCTACGTCCAGAGTCTATAGAACTGTGGAATGTAAGAATGAGAAAAGATAGTGAAGGCCAAGTCGTCCAGCCAGCTCACTTTAAAACCCGCCAGGCATGGTGGCTCATGCCTGTAATCCTAGCACTTTGGGAAGTCAGGGCAAGAGGATCACTTGAGCTCAGGAGTTTGAGACTGGCCTGGCCAACACGGCAAGAGCTTGTCTCTACAAAAAATTTTTAAAAATTAGCTAGGTGCAGTGGCTCATGCCAAGAGTCCCAGTTACTTAGAAGGCTGAGGTAGGATTGGTTGAGCTCAGGAACTCAAGGCTGCAGTGAGCCACGATTGTACCACTGCACTCCAGCAGTGGTACAAAAAAAAAAAAAAAGTAAAGATATAAGAGAACAGGCTTGGAGGAGGGGGACAATTGCACCCAAAGTCTGTGGCAGAGCCCAATCTTATGATCAGATTTCCTTCACCCAAGAGCCAGTTTAGATTACCTAGGAAGTGCTGGGCACAGTGTGTCATGCAGGAGCTACAGACATGGGCAGGTTACAGGCCCTGTCCTAGGGGATTTTAGAATACAGTAAGTTCTCTTCTCTTCTCCTTTTCTTTTTTTCCTTCCTTCCTTCCTTCCCTTCCTCCCTTCCTCCCTCCCTTCCTCCCTTTTTCTTTCTTTCCCTCTCTTTCTTTCCTTTTCTTTCTTTCTCCTTCCTTCCTTCCTTCCTTCCTTTTCTTTCTTTCTTTCTTTCTTTCTTTCTTTCTTTCTTTCTTTCTTTCTTTCTTTCTTTCTTTCTTTCTTTCTTTCTTTCTTTCTTTCTTTCTCTTTTCTCTTCCTTTGTTTTCTTTCTTTCACATCTTACCCTGTCACCCAGGCTGGAGGAGAGTGGTGCAATCAACCATGGCTCACTGCAGCCTCTACCTCCCAGAAGCAAGTGATCCCCAGCCTCCTGAGTAGCTGGGACCACAGGTATGTGCCACCACACCCTGCTAATTTTTGTATTTTTTTGTACAGACAAGGGCTTGCCATGTTGCCCAGCCTGGTTGATATGGTTTGGTTCTGTGTCTCCACCAAAATCTCATCTTGAATTGTAATCCCCATAACCCCCAAATGTCGAGGGAGGGATCAGGTGGGTGGTGATTGGATAAAGGGAGTGGTTTCCTCCATGCTGTTCTCATGGTAGTGAGTGAGTTCTCATGAGATCTGATAGTTTTATACGGCAGTTTTTCCTGATCTTGCTCACTCTCTCTCCTGTTGCCTTGTGAAGAAGGTGCCTGCTTCCCCTTCCATCATGATTGTAAGTTTCCTGAGGCCTCCCCAGCCATGCAGAACTGAGTCTACTAAACCTCTTTCCTTATAATTACCCAGTATTTCTTTATAGCAGTGTGAAAATGGTCTAATACACTTGTCTTGAACTCCTGCCTCAAGCGATCCTCTGGAACCTTGGCCTCCCAGAGTGCTGGGATTACAGGCATGTGCCACTACGCCCTGCTCACTCGGTTTCTACAGTCTCATTTTAATAATTTTAATGAGACAGAGGGGATGAAACTTGTTGTTCTAGCCTGTCTCTCTCATCACCTTGAGAAGTCTGAATCAGGAAAAAATAGCATATTGTTGCTTCAGAATGAGTAAGCTGTGTTCTCCCTATGTTCCAAATTGCCAATTAAGTTAAATACTCCCGAAAGACACACATGGATGACTCCTCCCTTGATTTTCCCCAAGATTCATTTCCAGACTAGTGTCATGGTAAACATGACTAAGACTAAGAAAGCAGACACCTCCTTTCTTTTCCTCCTTCTCTTTAAATGACTTTCCAGTACTTCTACAATCTTTTATTCTATATTTGGACACAAGATAACTGTTGTATGGGGTAAAGTGGGTGGGGTTTGTGTTGATGAAGTCACAGACCTATCTTCACCGCAAACCTTCCCAGGGTTCATCCCATAGCTAAGACCAAAGTGATGCATGTCTACCCAGGGGCAGGCAGAGGACATTTGCCCTTTTCTCATTCACCTCTCCCCAAGAGGTGACTTAGGAACTTCCCTAAGAAGTTTCCTAGTCAAAACTTCTTTCTTGGTGACGACTGGTCACTGTTTACAGCCCCTTGTTTCTCTCCTCTATTGGAGTGGTTAGTCAGTCGCCTCAACCCTACTAATAAAAATAAACCAGGTGATACTCTGGTTTCTCTTCAGATCATATAAATCTTTCACCTTTTACTAAAGATTCCTGTGGAGAGTTTTTGAGTTTTTAGCTAATTTTTTGAGCCTTTGCTTTAGCAAGGCTAGTATAAAGAAGAAGAAGAAGGGGGCGAGGGGGAAACAATGGCTGGGTGTGGTGGGTCACACCTGTAATCCCAGCAGTTTGGGAGGCCGAGGCGGGTGGATCACTTGAGGTCAGGAGTTCGAGACCAACATGACCAACATGGTAAAACCCTGTTGCTACTAAAAAAATACAAAAATTAGCCAGGCATGATGGCACACGCCTGTAGCTCCAGCTATTTAGGAGGCTGAACCAGGAGAACCACTTGAACCCTCGGGAGGCAGAGGTTGTGGTGAGCCAAGATCACGCCACTGCACTCCAGCCTGGGAGACAGAGTGAGACTCCATCTCAAGAAAAAAAAACAAAAGCAACAACAACAAAACCCAGGTGAACTTGATAAAACCTGACACAAAGTCCCTTCTATCGACCATCCAAGTTTCTCAAAGAGCTGCCCATAGGGGCAGAAACCTGCATGTATGTCTGTTCTAGGAAACAAGGCCCAAAAGCTGCTAGAACATACTGTTAAGAAATGTGCATGGGAGCATAGACCTTAAAAGTAATTAGACTGCAGGCTAGAAAATAATTTTAATGCAAAGTAGAAAGTATCAATCCACCTCATCACTTTCCTTGCTCTCTCTCTGTCACCTCCTCTTTCCTGTGGCTCTGAGGAGGTGGGAGAAGCAGGCAGTATTTCCACAGCAGCTGTCCATACAGGAAAGAGTCTCCCCTGTTGGTAGCTTGCTCCCAGATCTGGGGCAATGCTAGTGTCCTTTAGATCTAGAAGCAGACATGAAACAATAAAATAATTTACATGTGGTTCATTGCCTCTACTAATTCCATCTCTTCCTCCTTGTAGTCACAGGGCAGCTGCATCATCCTTGGACTCATGGGGACCCAAAGTTGCTTTTAAAGAACCTGCAAAATAAATGCATAATGGGGAAGGGTGAACTTTTTAGGATTGGCAGGGTACAGAAGAGGGGAGAAAAGCCAGAGTCTTTGAAAGTATCTCCTTTCTGGCCTGAAAGTAGGAGGAGGAAGGGAAAGGTGAATTTGGGGAAGGAAGGCAGGAAACAGAAAAATGTACCTTCTCTGCTGAGAGACTTTGTTTGCCATTATTCATGTTGATGTTCTTCATGGAGATAAGGGTGATGCTGTCTTTCTCTCCATTGGCTGTGGAGCAGCTGGGGGAGGAAGGGGGTCTGGGTTAAAGAGAGGAGGAGGGCAGGGCAATGGGGAGTCAAGGAACTGTGAGGTTGTTGAGCCTTAGACCTTTGTCTCAAAAAATCTATATTTTGGTGGTGGATCATGATGAAATGCGAGTGTGCTTTGAAGACCGAAAGACTGCATTTATTTATTTATTTAGAGATGGAGTCTCGCTCTGTCGCCCAGGCTGGAGTGCAATGGTGCAATCTCAGTTCACTGCAACCTCCACCTCTCGGGTTCAAGCGATTCTCCTGCCTCAGCCTCCTGAGTAGCTGGGATTACAAGCACGTGCCACCATGCCCGGCTAATTTTTGTATTTTTTAGTAGAGACAGGATTTTACCATGTTGGCCAGGCTGGTCTTGAATGCCTGACCTCAAATGATCCAGCCATCTTGGCCTCCCGAAGTGCTGGGATTACAGGTGTGAGCCACTGCACCTGGCCAAGACTTGCATTTAAATTTTGGTTTTACTACCTACTACTTGTTTGATCTTTACCAAGTTACAACCTCTATTAAAGCCTCAATTTTATTTTTTTAGTTTTTATTGAGAGGGTCTTGCTCTGTCACCCAGACTGGAGTGCTGTGGCACGATCACAGCTCACTGCAGCCTTGACCCCCTGAGCTCACACAATCTACCTGCCTCAGCGTCCCAAAGTACTGAGATTACAGGTGTGAGCCATCGCATCCGCTAAAGCCTCAATTTTTTTTTTTTCCCCTTGAAACGGAGTCTTGCTCTGTCACCCAGGCTGGAGTGCAGTGGCACCATCTCAGCTCACTGCAACCTCCGCCTCTGGGTTCAAGCAATTCTCCTGCCTCAGCTTCCCGAGTAGCTGGGATTATAGGCACCTGCCACCGTGCCCAGCTAATTTTTGTATTTTTAGTAGAGACTGGGTTTCAACATTTTGACCAGGCTGGTCTTGAACTCCTGACCTCGTGATCCACCCACCTTGGCCTCCCAAAGTGCTGAGATTACAGGCATGAGCCACCGCGCCTGGCCTAAAGCCTCAATTTTTAAAATGTATAATGGAGTAATGTCTCGGCTTACACCTATAATCCCAGCATTTTGGGAGGCTGAGGCAGAAGGATCACTTGAGACCAGGAGTTTGAGACCAGCCTGGCCAACATAGTGACATCTTATATCTATTAAAAAAATTAAAAATTAGCTGGGCATGGTGGCACATGCCTGTAGTCCCAGCTACTTGACAGGCTGAGGTGGGAGGATCATTTGAGCCCTGTTGGCATCACTGCACTCCAGCCTGGGCAACAGAGCAAGCCTGTCCCTTAAAAAAAAAAAAAAAAAGGCTGGGCATGGTGGCTCATGCCTGTAATCCCAGCGCTTTGGGAGGCTGAGGTGGGTGGATCACAAGGTCAGGAGTTCGAGACCAGCCTGGTCAACATGGTGAAACCCTGTCTCTACTAAAAATACAAAAATTAGTTGGGTGTGGTGGCTCATGCCTGTAGTCCCAGCTACTCGGGAGGCTGAGGCAGGAGAATCACTTGAACCTGGGAGGCGGAGGTTGCAGTGAGCTGAGATTGTACCACTGCACTCCAGCCCAGGCAACAGAGCAAGACTCCATGTCAAAAAAAAAAAAAAGTAATATATACCTTGAATAATTGCTATAAAGATTTGAGATAATATTATAAAATATATACCATTGTGTTCGGCACATAAGAAGTATTCAATAAGTGGTTCCTAAGCTTAGAGATAATGTCTTTTTATATTAGAATCTGAATTCCTACACTTTTCATGATGGGGTTATAGAGGGTTAGCCCTGGTGTTGAAGAGTTTCAGTCCATCTCCTGTCATTTGATTGTTCCCTTTCAGGTCTGCCCCTGTCCTGCCCACCCCAGCCCTGGCCTCAGAGGAGCCTGTCAGGATTGTATGTGTGTGGTATGTGTGTGTGGTGTGAGGGGTGTATATGTGTGGTATGGGGTATGTGGTGTGAGGTGTTGTGTGTGTGTGTGTGGTGTAATGCATGTGTGGTGTGTGTGTATGTGGTGTGGGGTGTGTGTGGTATGGGGTGTGTGTGTGGTATGGGGTGTGTGGGGTGTGTGTGTATGGTATGGGAGTGTTATGTGTCATGTATGTGATGTGTGGGGGAGTGTGTATGTGTGGTGTGTGTGGTGTAAGGTGTATATGTTGTGTGTATGTATAATATGGGGTACATATGTGTTTTTTATGTGGTGTGTGGGTTTGTGGTGTGTGTGTGGTTTGGTTGGGTGTGTGGTGTGTGTGTAGTATGAGGTATGTGTGTAGTATGAGGTACGGGGTGTCTGTGTGTGATGTGTGTGGTTTGGGTGGGTGTGTGGTGTGAGTGTGTATAGTATGAAGTGTGTGGTGTGTGTGTAGTATAGGGTACGGGGTGTGTGTGTGTGGTGTGGTGTGTGTGTGGTGTCTGTGTGTATGGTATGGGGGGATGTGTGTGGTGTGTGGGTGTGTGGTGTATGTATGTTGTTTGGGTGGATATGTTGGGTATGGGGTGTGGGGTGTGTGATGTGGGTATGCGTGGTGTGTTTGTGGTGTGTGTGTGGTTTGGGTGGGTGTGTGGGGTATGTGTGTGGGGAGGGTGGGTGTGTATAGTATGGGTATGAGGGTGGGTATGGTGTGGGTGGGTGTGTAGGGTATAGGGTATGGGGTGCATGTGTAGTATAGGATGTATGTATGTCGTGTGTGTGTAGTATAGGGTGTGGGGTGTGTGTGTTTGTGCTGTGGATGTGTGGTGTATGGGGCATGTTGTGTGTTTATGATGTATGTGGGATGTGTGTATAGTATAGGGTGTATGTGTGGTGCATGGGGTGTATGTGGTGTGTGGGTGTGTGTGTAGTGTGGGGTATGGGATATGTTGTGTGTTTGTGGTGTATGTGGGGGTGTGTGTATAGTATGGGATGTGTGTGGTATGTGGATGTGCATGGGGTGTGTGTGTATAGTATGGGGTGTGTGTGGTATGTGGATGTGCGTGGGGTGTGTGTGTAGTATATGGGTATGTGTGAGTAGTGTGGGGTGTGGGATGTGTGGTGTGTGGTGTGTAGGGGTGTGTGTGTATGATGTGTGGGGTGTGTGGGTATATGTGTATAGTGTGGGGTGTGGGGTGTGTGGTAGGTTTGTGGTGTGTGTGTGTGTATAGTATGGGGTGTGTGTGTGTGATATGTGTGTGGGGTGTGGTGTGTGTGATGTGAGGCCTGTGCTGTATTTGAGGTGTGTGTGTGGAGGGGTGTATAGTATGGGGTGTGTGTGGTTCGTGGGGTGTGTGTGGTAGGTGGGTATGTGTGTGTAGTGTGGGGTGTGGAGTGTGTGGTGTGTTTGTGATGTGTGTGGGGAGGTATGTATAGTATGGAGTGTGTGTGGTGTGTGACGTGTGGGGTGTGTGTGGTGTGTGGGTGTGTGGGGGGTGTGGGGCATGTGTATAGTATGGGTTGTGTGTATGGTGTGTGATGTGTGGGGTGTGTGTGGTGTATGCATAGTGAGGGTGTGGGGAGTGTGGTAGGTTTGTGGTGTGTATATGTGTGTATAGTATGGGGTGTGTGTGTGGTATATGATATGTGTGTGGGGTGTGGTGTGTGTGATGTGAGGCCTGTGGTGTATTTGAGGTGTGTGTGTGGAGGGGTGTATAGTATGGGGTGTGTGTGGTTTGTGGGGTGTGGTTTGTGGGTATGTGTGTGTAGTGTGGGGTGTGGAGTGTGTGGTGTGTGACGTGTGGGGTGTGTGTGGTGTGTGGGTGTGTGGGGTGTGTGGGGCATGTGTATAGTATGGGTTGTGTGTATGGTGTGTGATGTGTGGGGTGTGTGTGGTGTATGCATAGTGTGGGGTGTGGGGAGTGTGGTGTGTTTGTGGTGTGTGTGTGTGGTGTGTATAGTACAGGGTGTGTGTGGTGTGTGATGTGTGGGGGATGTGTGGTGTGTGGGTATGTGTGTGTAGTGTGGGAGGTGCAGTGTGTGGTGTGTTTGAGGTGTGTGTGAGGGTGGTGTGTACAGTATAAGGTGTGTGGTGTGTGGTATGTGGGGTGTGTATGAGATGTGTGGGTGTGTGTGTAGTGTGGGATGTGGGGCATGTGGTATGTTTGAGGTGTGTTGGGGTGTGTGTATAGTATGGGATATGTGTGGTGTGTGGAGTGGTGGTGTGTGTGTGTAGTGGGGTGTGTGGTGTGTTTGAGGTATGTGTGGGGTGTGTGTGTGATGTGTGATGTGTGGGGTGTGTGGTGTGTCTGATGAGTGGGGTGTGTGTGTGTGTGGTGTGTGGGTATGTGTCTGTAGTGGGGTGTGGGGTGTGTGGTGTATTTGAGGTGTGTGGGAGTGTGTGTGTGGGGGTCGTGTGGTGTGTGAGATGTGCGTCTAGTGGGGTGTGTGGTATGTGGTGTGTTTGAGGTGTGTGGGAGGCGTGTATAATATGGGGGTTGTGTGTGATGTGTGATGTATGTAATGTGTGTGGTGTGTGGTGTGTGGGTGTGTGTAGTGAAGTGTAGGGTGTGTGGTGGGTTTGAGGTGTGTGTGGGTGTGTGTAGTGAGGTGTAGGGTGTGTGGTGGGTTTGAGGTGTGTGGGGGTGTGTGTGTGATGTGTGAAGGTGTATGGTGTGTGGTGTGTGGGTGTGTGGGTGTGGAAGGCAGGAAGTGTTGGTTCCCTCTGGGAGTTGGGGTCTGGGTGTCAGATAGAAGATTTTTCTGACGGTCTTACCTTTCAGACAGCCCTGAACTCCCAGGTTTCTGGGGATCTGTAAAAAGCCAAAGGCACAGGTTGGGGCTCACATGCTGTAACTCAGAAGTCCAGCCTTCCTCTCAAAGCCCACCTGGGGACCCTCCGGCTCATGGAGTGGCAGATGCAGGCTGGTGTGAGCTGGGGCTCTAGCCCTGGGTCCGCCAGCAGAGGGGAAAAAGATCCCCGAGGGCAGGGCACGCACCTTCAGACTCCTTGCTCTTCCGACACTTGAACCTCAGGCTGACCACACCAACTAGGATGATCACCACAACCACCAGGATGACAATGAAGCTGATAACACCTGAACAGAGAAAAGAATGGGGTGAAGGGGGCCAGTCGGGGGGACAAAGGGGCCAACAAGAGTCCGGCATTCCCTTCCCAGATAAGTACTGTGTAGACAGGCTCCAGGAGCAAAGTGAGTTCCACTTCTCTGCTGAACAGGTGAGCTCTCAGCCTGCCGCCCCCTAGCCAGAGTGGGCTCTCCACCCGACTCCATCCCTGCATGAGAACATGGAACCCAGCACAGCCAAGAAGAGCTAACTGGAGGGCAGGGGCCCCCCTCCCACAAGGGTCTTCCTCATCAGCCAGAACCTCCTGGAACAAATGGGTGAGATTTGAACTTGCGTTTCCAGACCCAGAGTCCAAGTCAATTCCAGGGGTAGGGTTCCCTCCTATGTCCCACCTTCTCCTCCCGCTCTCACCAAATGCAGCCACAGTGAGCACAGTCTCTGACGTGGGGCTGGGCAGGATGGTCGCATCTTCCCTCATGCTCAGGCTCATGGTGGTTGAATTGGGGGGAACAGTTTGAAATGTGTCTAAAATGGAGTGGAGTCAGGGGCATCAGCGAAGGGGACTGACACAGGGAAGCTAGAGCTAGCTTCCCTCCCGCTTCCCCCTAGGGAAGGACCAGAATTTATGCTGCAGAGCTAGGAGGTCAGACTGGGCAAAATAGAGCTGTCTGTATTGTGCCAGGGTTGAGGTGGGAGGAATGTTTCTGCTCAGGCAAGGCTCCAACAAGCCAGGCTGCCTGTTAAGGGGCACAGATTTCTGGCCCTCTTAAAAACTGCTATGTTGGCCTGGTGCGGTGGCTCATGCCTGCAATCCCAATACTTTGGGAGGCCAAGATGGGTGGATCACTTGAAGTCAGGAGTTTGAGACCAGCCTGACCAACATGGTGAAACCCCATCTCTCCTAAAAAAAAAAAAAAAAAAAAAAAAAAAAAGACCGGGCACGGTGGCTCACACCTGTAATCCCAGCACTTTGGGAGGCCGAGGCGGGCAGATCATGAGGTCAGGAGTTCAAGACCAGCCTGGCCAATATGGTGAAATCCCATCTCTACTAAAAATACAAAAATTAGCCGGGCATGGTGACGCGTGCCTATAGTCCCAGCTACTTAGGTGGCTGAGGCAGGAGAATCTCTTGAACCTGGGAGGCAGGGGTTGCAGTGAGCCAAGATTGTGCCACTGCACTCCAGCATAGGCAACAGAGCGAGACTCTGTCTCAAAACAAAAAACAAAAAATAAAAACTAGCTGGGCCTTTTGGTGCATGCCTGTAATCCCAGCTACTCAGGAGGAGGAGGTTGCAGAGAGCCGGGATCGCACCGCTGCACTCCAGCCTGGACGACAGAACAAGACTCCTTCTCAACAAAAAAAAGGTGCTATGTCACCTGTGTCTTCCCTTCTCAACCCATTGTACTTCAGGCCCAATTGCTGTTCCACTTATCTCTCCTCACTTCCCCTTCCCAAATAAGTCTGGGAGAATAAAAAAATCTGAGAGCCAAGGGATAAGACGAGAGAAAGGGTCACAGACATCTCCTGCCGACTTCTCTTCAGGGCGAGTGCAGCAGGACATACCTCTGCTTGTGCCTCCGTCTCTTCCACTGCTGGGGACACCTGCGCCTGCACCATGAAACAGCATGACCAAGATGGGGGCATCCCCCAGCAGCTCTTCTCCCTCGCTGCTAAGCAAAGGCCAGTCTTCCCTGCCTGAGAGGACTCTAGCTCTTTCTCAGCCTTTTCTGCCTTCCTTTTCCTTCATTTTGGGGTATCCTTCTCCTCCCTCTCCTCTCTGGGTATGCCTTTCTCAGTCTCAAGTCTAAGCTCCTGTTACCTTCGTTGTGACCAGGCCCAAGGTCCTGTCTCTACGCCCCACCAAACCTCTTTCTTTCCTGAACCAGGGTGCCACTGATGTGGGTCCTGACCCCTGTGGCCTCCTGAAGAGGGCAGAAGGAACCCATCCAGATGGAACCCAGTGTTTTTCACCGCTGCCCCCCGCCCTGGGCACTCAACAAGTCCTGATGTGTACATCTGTGGCTTGGCCCAAGTTAGGCCCAACCAGGTCGGGGAGAGCCCATCCACGGTGCCTGCCCTCGGCATCACGGGTTTACTGGCTGCCATGGGGGCCTGCGCGGCCTTCTTTGGAGCTGCCGTGAATGAGGAAGCACACTCGGGCCTGCTCAGGGCCTTGGCCGGCATGTGCACCGGGTGGGCTCTTCAGTCCAAAATCTTCCTCTTCTTTCCTGCTTTCAGTTCTAGAAGGGGCCATTCTCTTGTTCACCTCTGGGCAGTTCCCTCTGCCTGGAATAAGCCCCACTACTCTCCACCCCACCTGGAATAAGCCCCACTACTCTCTACCCCACAGCCTCCACATGCTCAGCTGACCCCTTCTCAGCTCGGCTTCAGAAGCTGCTTCTGGGAGTCATCCCTGGCCCCCGAGTCTGAAGTGACTGACATGTGCCTGGGCTCCCACACTTCTGCTGGTGCCCACCGCAGCCCTTCTCACCCTGCATGTCATCCTCAGTGTGAGGGTCTATTTCCTTGTCTGTTCCCGCTCGCCCCAGTCTATATTCTCTTTTAGAGCAGAAACTGTTGGGGTCCTCACTGGGCCCTCCCTGGATGGCATTTGTAGTCTGAATGACACAGTACCTGGGGTACCAGTGCTGGACAGATGGCTTGGCCTGTTAGCCTCTGAGGAAGGGATGTATCCTGCAAGGACAGAGGCAGATAGGGAGTGGGAGGTGGGGTAGGTTTGGTGACACCACACTCCCTGTCCCACCCAAGAACCCCTGGGCTCCAAGCAGGTCTGAATGAATGGGTGTGGGGCAGGAGCAGGGACCTCAGCAACCACACTCACTCACCTGGGTTGGAAGAAACTGGCTCTGTGGTCAGACTTAGACCGCCAAGGCCTCCTGAAACAGAACATCTGAGGCTGAGGGGTGCACCGCCTCCTACTGTTCCATCTCCCTCTCTTGTTCCCTAGATCTGTGTGTCTTTCTCCCTACCCCATCCCCCACCCCTCATTCCCAACCATTCACCTCTTTTTTCTTTCAAGGTACATTAGACTCAGCTAGGCTGAAAAAAAATCCTTAGATGAGCTCAGCCTTGGTGAGTCCTGAGAGCTCCCGCTCCAGCTGCGGCCCCAGCCCCCTGAGGTTAAGGCTAAATTGGCATAGAGCTCCTCTCACCCTTCCTAAGCTCCTAGGCCTACACGCTGGAGTAGACCCATGTGTTTGGTCTTACCCTGAGAGCTAGAGGTCTGGGTCATTGTGGGCTGGGAGTTGTGGCCTGCAAGAGAAAGCAAAACACATAGCTTGGTAAGTCCCCTGCCCAGCACAGAGCCTAGAAAGGAACCCTTAGAATGCCTTCTGGCCCAGCCTGGGCAACATAGCAAGACCCTGTCTCTAAAAAAAAATTTTGTTTTGTTTTGTTTTTTTTTTTTTTTTAAATTCTCCAGGCACAGTAGTGCACACCTGGAGTCCTAGCTACTCAGGAGGCTGAGGTGGCAGGATTGCTTGAGACCAGAAGGTTGAGGCTGGCTGCAGTGAGCTATGATTGCACCACTACACTCCAGCCTGGGCAACAGGTGGAGACCCTATCTCAACAAAAAAAAAAAAAAAAAAAAAAAAAAAAAAAAAGAAAGAAAAAGAAAAAAGAAAAGAAAACACTGGCCAGGTGCGGTGGTTCACACCTGTAATCCCAGCACTTAGGGAGGCTGAGGTGGGTAGATCACTTGAGGTCAGGAGTTCAAGACTAGCCCGGCCAACATGGTGAAACCCTGCCTCTATTAAAAATACAAAAATTAGCAGGCCTGATGGCACACGCCTGTAATCCCAGCTGCTTGGGAGGCTGAGGCATGAGAATCGCTTGAACCCGGGAGGTAGAGGTTGCAGTGAGCTGAGATCATGCCATTGCACTCCAGCCTGGGAGACAAAGTGAGACTCTGTCTCAAAAAAAAAAAAAAAGAAAAGAAAACAGAAAAAAACGTTTTGGCTTTCTAAGCCTACCATGCTGGAAGGCAGACACACTAGGCAGAGGACTAAAGGATGTGGGCTGTGGCTCACGGTGCTGGCTTCCTCTGAGACTGTGACTCAATAGCAACATCACCACCACCTCATGGCTCAGAGTCCCGAAGTCCTTCCCTGTCTCTTCAATCTGACATGGGCATTTTACCAACCTGATGCAGAGTCAGGAGAAGGTTATTTTAAACTAGTGACATTTCTAAGGACAGAAGATCAATGACCTGCCACACCTAGACAAGGAAGGGCCCAGGACTCCAGGTCTCTAGGCTAATGTTTACCTTAAGCTACTGTCACCCTGGTCCTGCCCCCAGGGAAGGGGCTGAGAGACGGGAAGGTGAGTGAGATGGGGATGGGGATTAGGGCTTGTATCTTGCCTAGAGGTAGGGGCCTGTGCAGAAAGTAAGTTCTGAGGTATATATAGGAGGCAGGGAAGCTCTAGCATGAGCAACCCATTCACTCTCACAGGCAGAGGATACATAGGAAATGGTTGTTATTGACCAAACCCAGAGAGGGGTCAGTCACCAAGAGTCCCCAATCAGAAGCCCTCACTGGCTTTTTTGTATGTACACGTGTGTCTGCGGGGCTCTATGCAAATGTATGTGCATGCTCGTGTGCCCTTGTGTGTGTCCCGCTGTGTATGTGGAACCTGAAAGGTCAGGTTGTATTTGCTCATTTTCCACAATGAAATCATTCTTGAAACCTGTGAACAATGTGAAAGGAAAACAACGTGGGGAAGTGGAGCCGCCCAGCTGGGTTCCCGTCCCTCTGCTTGAGCAGGGACTACAGCCCCTGGCCTGGCTCTGCTGCTCCCTTGGTCTCTCAGCATCAGGGGAGCATTCAGCCCAGGCCTGGGTGGACAGAGGCGGCTGGGTGCCAGGGGCCCACCCCAGCCTGTGGCAACCTGCTGCTCTGCTTATTTTCCTTAAGCCACTGCCTTCCTCCATGGGGCTATCATCTGGATAGTGTAGAATTAATTGCTTCCAAGTGTAAAATTACCAAACCCTGGGC
Source organism: Homo sapiens (assembly GCF_000001405.40). Lineage (NCBI taxonomy): Eukaryota > Metazoa > Chordata > Mammalia > Primates > Hominidae > Homo > Homo sapiens. The sequence continues at coordinate 49,721 of NW_021159996.1, forward strand.
CATGTTTTTCTAGATCACCATTTCTGAGAGCCCCATTCCCTTGTTGGCGAGAGGGGGATGGTCAAGAGGGGAGTCAAAATTTATAGGAAGCCCAGGCTAGAGAAAACCCTTTCTAGCTGGGGAGGACCCTTGGAGAATCCTTTTAACCCAAGGCATGTCCTGAAAACATGTATCAGTTACTAATCCAGCATATGTAATGTATTTTTTGTTTTTTTTTTTTCGTTTTGAGACAGAGTTTCGCTCTTGGTCACCCAGGCTGGAGTGCAGTGGCGCGATCTCAGCTCACTGCAACCTCCGCCTCCCGGGCTCAAGCTATTCTCCTGTCTCAGCCTCCTGAGTAGCTGGGATTACAGGCGCCTGCCACCATGCCCGGCTAATTTTTGTATGTTTAGTAGAGATGGGGTTTCACCATGTTGGCCAGGCTGGTCTCAAACTCCTGACCTCAGGTGATCCATTCGCCTCAGCATCCTAAATGCTGGGATCACAGGCGTGAGCCACCGAGCCTGGCCTAATGTACTATCTAAATGCTGTAAGGTTATAACTTAGTTTTTGGTGGGAAGGTACAGGGAAGGCACAGGGAACTGCCTTCCTGCATTTATCTAGAAAGAAAATTATTCAGTGGCTTGGGAGGAGTTCCAAAGTCACAAGCTTCAAGACCCTGCTCTTTCTTTGCCTCTTGCCCCTCCCACTACCCAAACTTTTTGTCACCAACAAAGATTTCTCTGTGGGTAAGGGAGGGACTTAGGGAGCATCTGTGTCTACAGCCGAGGGTGTCTCTGACCACTGGGCCTGCAGATTCCCAAAGAACTCTAGCCACAGGAATTTTTGATTTCCCAGGTCTCCCCTCTCTAATTCTGTCTGCTTTATCCCCTTCTAGTCTATCTCCACACACACCCCTCCCCATTTTTTCCTCAAAAGCATAGTTTAGAAGTTAAAATCGTGGATTTTAATCGAGCCTGGCAAGCCTGAGTTCAAGTCCTGGCTTTGTCGCTGTCTGACCTAGGCCTCAGTTTTCTTTACTTTGAAGTACAAGTGACCAGCCTGGGCAACATGGTAAAACCTTGTCTCTACAAAAAAATGCAAAAATTAGCTGGGTGTGGTGGTGTGTGCCTGTAGCCCCCAGCTACACAGGAGGCTAAGGCAGGAGGATTGCTTGAGCCCAGGAGGTCAAGGCTGCAGTGAGCCATGATCATGCCACTGCAACTCTGGCCTGCGCAATGGAGCAACCCTGTCTCAAAAATAACTAAGTAAAATGCAAGTGGTATCAGTACCTCGCAAGTTGTTGTGAAGGAAGGAAAATGCATATGAAGCACTTAACGCAGTGCCTGACATGCTCAATGAAGGCCAGACACTTTTGTTTTTGCCCTGTTCTCTCAAATCCTCCAAGTCTCAAGTCTGCCCTGCCTCTGGGTATCCGTAGTCAAGTCCCTTTATGGGCCTGAATGTGCTCAGGATTCCTCAGTCCACCAAGATGAAGGAGCCAGGAAATGCTCTGCACACTTCAGGATGAAGGGTTAGGAAACTCGGGGCGGGTGACAGCAGCTTAGGTACAGCCGACACAGGGCATTTGAGAGTGCTGGCACTTGCCTGGGAGAAAACAGTGGGTAGGGAGGCTGGGAAAAGTCTCGGCCTGTGAAAATGCCACCTCATGAGCTTCACCTGCAGTTTCCACAACAGCCTTGTTCCCCAGCCCCAGACCTGTGACTCTGTCATGGAGGGGGTAGGAGGGGATGGGGACAATCAGAGTCTTGTCCTCCAGCCCATGGACTTTTAGAGAAATGCCTGACATCTCCGGAAGCCAGTGTTCTGGTACTCAGGCCCTCTTACCCACCACCGACGAGGGGCCACCACCCCTCCCCATCTGAGCCCTCTTGTGCACTCTTTCTGCTGCTTTGAGCACAGAGGACTTGTAGAGGGTGAGGTGGGGGCAGAGCAGGAATGGTCAAAGGGAAGTTGCTGCCCTGTGAGTCAGAATGCCCTGGACTCGTCATGATTCCCAGCAACTGCTCCCTGATGAGAGGACCCCTATGAGCGGCTTCACAACTCATTGGCTGGCAGAGCCTGTCAGAGAGGTGCCATTTCCAAGTAGCCTCCTCTGGAGGTCATCTACTCTAGCCCCCTGGATGTGAGAATGTTAAGCACATCCTCCTTGGTGAATAGTTCTTTGTGTCTAACCTGAGTCCCTCTTGCTGTGATTTAACTTTAAAATCTACATTAGGAATTCCTAGGTTGCTACTCCTCATGTGAAAGGAGAGAACAGATCCCCTGTGAAGCCCATGGTGCAGAGGATTTGTGTTAGAACAGTTGAGAGAGTGGCCGTCGTCAGCCCTGCCCCAAGATCAGAGGGTGAGGGTCATGAGTAGCCTGAGCACATCCTAGAAGGAGCTTTGGGCCTGGGTCTTGCACTAACACAGCTCCCTCCCACAATTCAGGAGGCCAGCCTTTATGGGGAGCCCAGCTCCCCCAGGACAATTTCCCACAAGAGGGTTTAACCGTAGCTCCATTTTACCCCTGCCTGGTAATCAGGACCCCCCAATCCAACTGATCTTCATGGAAAGGCTCTGGAATTTCCCCTGGGCACAGCCCCTGGATGGAAAGCATGTGTCTCCTGAGAAAGAGACCGATGCCTAGAATGGCCAGCTGCGGAGAGGAATTGCCATGGGAAAGCGGCAGGCACCTCTTACCTCGGAACAGGAGGAAGCCCAGGATCACCCAGCACAGCTGCATGGCTCCTGCGGTGCCCATGTCAGCTGGGTATGTGGCGGGCAGGCAGCAGCTCAGTGGAGGCTCTGTCCATAGTGGAGAAGAGAGAGGGAGTGCTGGGGCGGGATGGGGGTGGGGACTGGCTCTCCAGGAGCTTCCTGTCAAAAGAATAGAAGGAAACACATTGGGACCAGCTCCAGGGGCCCTGCTCAGCCATGTCCAGATGAGGATGTGAGGCTGCAGCAGCGACTGTGCCCACCCAGCATGGCCTCTAGTGCCTATGCACAATGACCAACCATGGCAACCTGGCCCCATCCCCATTCTCTTCCCTTCTGAGGGTCCATCAGGTTCCACCACAGACCGCCTGGGGGTTTTCCTGGAATCTAACACCAATCCCGCCCAGTACTGTTTCAGACCAGGTTCTCCTTTCCCATGATTCAGCCTGGAAGCCCAGCCCACCAGTCACCCATGCTCCCTGGACCCTGAATTCTCCACATTCCTCTCCCTCCTCAGGGATCCCAATGCAGATAGGACTCCCCACATCTTTCAGAGAGGCCCTATACGCATGATTATTATTCCTTTTTTACTTTTTTTTTTTTAAGAGTTGGGGTCTTGGCCAGTAATCCCAGCACTTTGGGAGGCCCACGCCTGTAATCCCAGCACTTTGGGAGGCCGAGGTGGGCAGATCACGAGGTCAGGAGACCGAGACCATCCTGGCTAACATGGTGAAACCCCGTCTCTACTAAAAATACAAAAATTAGCCAGGTGTGGTGGCAGGCGCCTGTAGTCTCAGCTACTGGGGAGGCTGAGGCAGGAGAATGGCGTGAACCTGGGAGGTGCAGCTTGCAGTGAGCCAAGATCGTACCACTGCACTCCAGCCTGGGCAACAGAGTGAGACTCCGTCTCAAAAAAAAAAAAAAAAGAGAGAGATGGGGTCTTGCTATATTGCTCAGTCTGGACTCAAACTCCTGGGTTCAAGTGATCCTCCTGCCTCGGCCTCACAAGTAGCTGGGACTTCAGGCATGTGCCACCAAGCCGGGTATCGTTATTCTTAATAGAAAAGCAAGAGTCCCCCTATTTGAAGCACTCCTCCCTCTGCATCCTCACTGGGGTGAGGTGTCCCCTGTCCTCGGCATCCAGCAGCACTCATCCTTATCCCAGGATTCTCTCTGTTGCAGACTGCAAGCCAGCATTGTGACTTTTTTCAATATTCCTAGGACCTGGCACAATGCCTGCCACATAGCAGGTCCTCAGCACATATTTATTGAACTAAACTCAAAAGATTTAAGGTCAGGGCTGCGCAATGGCTCATGCCTACAGTCCAGCACTTTGAGACGTTGAGGCAGGAGGATTTCTTGAGGCCAGGAGTTTGAGACCAGACTAAGCAACACAGCAAGACCCTGTCTCTACAAAAAAAAAAAAAAAAAAAATTTAATTAGCCAGTCATGATGGTGCATGCCTGTAGTCCTAGCTACTCAGGAGGCTAAGGCAAGAGGACCTCTTGAGCCCAAGAGTTCAAGGCTGCAGTGAGCTATGATCAGAGTGAGACTCCATCACTGAAATTAAAAAAAAAAAAAAAAAGATTCGAAAGCAGAGGAATGTCAGAAACAATCCTACCTCCTTAATATTAATTATATTATTGTTATTAATTCCCTTCCAGTCTATTTGCCTTCCAGTCTTTGACAATATGCATATACATATACAATCATTTAAATGAATGGTATCCTTTTTTCTTTCCTTTTTTTTTGTTTTTTTTTTTTTTGAGACAGAGTCTCTCACTGTTGCCCATACTGGAATGCAGTGTAAGATGTCTGCTCACTGCAGCCTCCACCTCCCAGGTTCAAGCCATTCTCATGCCTCAATCTCCAGCGTAGCTGGGACTGCAGGCTCACGCCACCACGCCCACCTAATTTTTGTATTTTTAGTAGAGACGGTTTCACCATGTTGGCCAGGCTGGTCTCAAACTCCTGACCTTGTGATCCACCCACCTCAGCCTCCCGAAGTGCTGGGATTACAGGCATGAGCCACCATGCCTAGCCCTTTTTTCTTTATTTTCTTAATATTTTATTTTGAAACAGTCACAAGAAAAGTTGGAAGTACATTACACAGAACTTTTTTCCCTGAACTGTTGTTCAGAGTAAATTGTCAACAGGATGCCCCATCACCCCGAATAGTTTAGTGTGTATTTCCTACAAGGGACAGTCTCCTACATAATCACAATACAGCCATCAAAATTAGGAAATTAATATAAATATATTAATACCATCTAATCTTCAGATCCTATTCAAATTTTGACAGTTGTTTCAATAATGTCCTTTATAGCGAAAGGATCCTGCCCAGAATTACTCACTGAAAGTCTCTTCAGTCTCCTTCAATCCGGAATAGTTCAGACTTTCCTTGATTTTCATGGCCTAAACACTTTTGAAGGTTACAGTACAGTTATTTTATAGAAGTTCTCTCAATTTCGGTTTCTCTGATGTTTCCTCATAAGATTTAGGTTATCTAGGCTGGGAGCAGTGGCTCATGCCTGTAATCCCAGCACTTTGGGAGGCCGAGGTGGGTGGATCACGAGGTCAGGAGACTAAGACCATCCTGGCTAACACGATGAAATCCCGTCTCTACAAAAAATACAAAAAATTAGCCAGGCGTGGTGGCGGGTGCCTGTAGTCCCAGCTACTTGGGAGGCTAAGGCAGGAGAATGGCGTGAACCCAGGTGGTGGAGTTGCAGTGAGCCAAGATCATGCCACTGCACTCTAGCCTGGGCGACAGAGTGAGACCCTGTCTCAAAAAATTAATTAATTAATTAATTAATTAATTAATTAAAATTTAGGTTATCTATCTCGGCAGTGACATCAAAGAAGCAATGTTGAGTCTCTCTCTTTGCATCCTATCAAATAATGCATTATTTTTTCCTTTTTTTTTTAAGAGACAGGGTCTCAGGGCTGGGTGTGATGGCTCACGCCTGTAATCCAGCACTTTGGGAGGCCAAGGAGGGAGGACTGCTTGAGCTCAGGATTTTGAGACCAGCCTGGGCAACATGGCAAAACCTTGTCTCTGCTAAAAATTAAAAAATTAGCTAGGTTTGGCGGTACATGCCTATAGTCCCAGCACTCAGGAGGCTGGAATGGGGAGGATGGCTTGAACCTGGGAGGCAGAGGTTGCAGTGAGCCAAGATTGTGTCACTGCACTCCAGCCTGGAAGACAGAGCCAGACCCTGACTCAAAAGGAAAAAAAAAAGAGAGAGAAGGATCTGGCTCTGTCACCCGGACTGGAGTGCAATGGCACAATCTCACTTCACTGAAGCCTTGAACTCCTGGGTTCAAGTGACCCTCCTGCCTCAACCTCCTGAATTGCTGGGATTACAGGCATGAGCCACAATGCCTGGCTCAATTTTTTTTTTTTTTTTCTGCGATGGAGTCTCGTTCTGTCACCCAGGCTGGAGTGCAGTGGCGTGATCTCAGCTCACTGCAACCTCTGCCTCTTGGGCTCAAGCAATTCTCCTGCCTCTCGGCTCACTACAACCTCCACCTCCTGGGTTCAAGTGATTCTCCTGACTCAGCCTCCCGAGTAGCTGGGATTACAGGCACCCACCATCATGCCCAGCTAATGTTTATATTTTTGTAGAGATGGGGTTTCACCATGTTGGCCAGGCTGGTCTTGAACTCCTGACCTCAGGTGATCTGCCCGTCTCGGCCTCCCAAAGTGCTGGGATTACAGGCGTGAGCCACCACGCCCAGCCTGCAAAGACCCTTTTTCCAAATAATGTAACATTCACATGTTCTGGGGATTAAGACATGGACATATCGTTTTGGGGGCCACAAGTTAGCCCACCACAGCCAGTTTTCTCCACTCTAAAGTTACACTTTTATCCTTTATAATTAATAGAGATGTTATGAGGAGATATTTTCTATATCTATATATAAACTCATGTATTTCTGTTTTATTCACTAGGTTGGAATACAATCATTTATTGTTCTGATGCTCAAATTGTCTCCATTTTGGCCACTGTTAGCCCCTACAAGCTGGCTTCTGTGTCCTTTTGACACGTCTCCATCATTTTTTGAGCACTTCCTTACTTTCTGGCATAATAAGATGTTTCAGGCTTTTTTTTTTTTTTTTTTTTTTTTGAGGCAGAGTTTCGCTCTGGTTGCCCAGGGGGAGTGCAATGGCATGATCTCGGCTCACTGCATTCTCCTTCTCCCAGGTTCAAGTGATTCTCCTGCCTCAGCCTCCTGAGTAGCTGGGATTATAGACACACACCACGAAGCCTGGCTAATTTTTGTATTTTTAGTAGTGACGGGGTTTCACCATATTGTCCAGGCTGGTCTCAAACTCCTGGCCTCAAGTGATCCACCCACCTCGGTCTCCCAAAGTGCTGGGATTACAGGTGTGAGCCACCGCACCCGGCTTCCAGGCACTTCTTGTGCTTCACCTGCCCCAGCCCTGGAATCGGCTGTTTCTTTAAGGGGTCTTCATTCCTTTTGGTGCAAATGATATTTAGAAACTGAGGGCCGGGCACAGTGGCTCATACCTGCAATCCCAACAATTTGGGAGACCTAGGCATGAGGATCGCTTTAGCTCAGGAGTTTGAGACCAGCCTGAGCAACATAGTGAGATATCGTCTGTGCAAAAAAAATTTTTTAATTACCCGGGTGGGGTGGTGTGTGCCTGTAGTCCCAGCTACTCAGGAGGCTGAGGTGGGAGGATCACTTGAGCCTGGGAGGTTGAGGCTGCAGTGAGCGAGATCATGCCACTGCACTCCAGCCTGGGCCACAGAGTGAGACCCTGTCTCAAAAAAACAAATTTTTTCAAAAGAAAGAAACCGAGGTCTGAGTCGTCAGTGTGCTCGTTGGTGCTAGGGAGTAGCATCTCTAAGGCCCTTCTCTGACTCCCATGATCCTTAAATACTTACTTATTGGATCACTCCCCTTTCAGTAACCAAGCTCCCATTTCTGCTCCCATTCCTTCCCCACCATGTGGATGCCTTCTTCACCCTCTCACTCGTCCTCATTTGAAGTGCACAATTCAGTGGCTTTTTTTTTTTTTTTGAGACAGTCTCCCTCTGTTGCTCAGGCTGGAGTGCAGCCGCACAATCTCGGCTCACTGCAACCTCTGGCTCCCGGGTTCAAGCTATTCTCCTGCCTCAGCTTCCTGGGTAGCTGGGATTACAGACACGCCACCAAGCCTGGCTAATTTTTGTGTTTTTAGTAGAGATGGGGTTTCACCATGTTGGCCAGGCTGGTCTTGAACTCCTGACCTCAGGTGATCCACCCACCTCGGCCTCCCAAAGTGCTGGGATTACAGGCCTGAGTCACCACACCAGCCTCAGTGGTTTGTTTGTTTGTTTGTTTGTTTGTTTGTTTTCAGGCAGAGTCTCGCTCTGTTGCCCAGGCTGGAGTGCAGTGGCATGATCTCGGCTCACTGCAAACTCCGCCTCCAGGGTTCATGCCATTCTCCTGCCTCAGCCTCCAGAGTAGCTGGGACTACAGGCGCCCACCACCACGCCCGGCTAATTTTTTGTATTTTTAGTAGAGTTGGGGTTTCACCGTGTTAGCCAGGATGGTCTCGATCTCCTGACCTTGTGATCTGCCCACCTCGGCCTCCCGAAGTGCTGGGATTACAGGCGTGAGCCACCGGGCCCGGCTGCCTCAGTGGTTTTTATATATTTAGAGAGTTGTTCACTCACCCCAAATAAAATCAATTTTATAACATTTCCATTACCCTAAAAAGAAACCCCACACTCCTTACAGACCTATAGCTTTTTACAAGGCTAGAAGTGGGGTGTGGTAGAGGAAAGCAGCCTTTGCTCCTTACTTACCCAACTCTAGCCCAGAGTTTCCGATGACCTCAAAAGTCAGCCGCCTCTCAGACCTGCCCTGAGTCTATCATGGCAACCCCACTCTGGCCTGCTCAGGGTATTCCCACAGGCCCCTGTCCTTCGGCTCCCTCTGCAGACTCCTCAGCCTGCCTGCCTTTGGTGGTGACAGAGTGAAAGAAGGGTTGCTCTTTGCCTTCCTCTGGCCAGCAAAGCCACTTCCACCCTCCCCCAGAGAGATGGAAAGGAGGTGGAGGTTGCAATGAGCCGAGATTTCGCCACTGCACTCCAGCCTGGGTGACAGAACAAGACTAAGTCTCAAAAAAAAAAAAAAGAGTCATGGTTCCTGGAAAGATGAGCCTCCGCATACCTGTTACATAAGACAAAGTGTGACAAATGTTAGGAGCGGGTAAGAAACATTATGCTGTAAGGCTTAAGGAAAAGAAAGCAAGTTACTCAAGTACAGGGCTGAAAAATTCGTCCCTAGAGGAGGCCACACTTGACCTAAGCTATAACAGATGTTTAAGGTTTAGACGGCAGGAATGGGTGGGCAGCTCATAGCAGTGGTAGAGAAGTGACACAGAAGGCTGGGGCTGTAGTCTGGTCCCAGAAGTTCCACCGTATTATCCTCTCGGAAGCCCTTTAGGAGACAGATCCAGGATTAATGAGGGAGGAAAGGGAAGAAGTAGTCATCAGAAGGATCAAAAATTGGGCTTTTGGACACAGGGACCGGAGCCCCAGTGGAGATATCTGCCAGAGCAATGGCACATGTGTCTTGAGGAGGCAGGAGGTGAATAGCAGTGGCCGAAGTTCAGGACCCGTGGCAGAGTCCAGATTCCCTCTGGCTAAAGTCTAAATGGACCAAGGTGGGAAGCAGAGGATGAGCAGAGCCTTTGATCCCGTTGGGAGGGGGTCAGCCAGGGGCTTCAGGGTCAGCCAGGGGCTTCAAGGTCAGCCAGCAATAGGTCCCGCTCACTTTGCAGATCAGGTCAGCAGTCCAGGGATCTGGGCTCAAGTGAACTTGGAGGTCTGAGTGGGGGCCCTGGATGTCAGGATGTGGGCAGCTCGGCTGAGAGACAAGGAACCAGGATGCTACATTCTGTTTCATCCTGGATCAAGACTCCAGCGGAGGGGAGTTCCCAGGGTGTCTCTGGCTCTCCAGACTGGAAGGGAGGATGGTGAGTGCACAGCAATGGACAGAATGAGGGATGGCTGGTCCCACAGAGTTAGCTGTGGCTAAAAAAAACTGTCTCTAGAGAGAGGAGAGATTGGTGGGCAGTTTTTGTGACTTGGACACATTAAAACACATACATACTCTCAAATGAAGTTGCATTCAGGCAAATGCAAAGAAATACAGAATTCATATTTATAAAAACCAAAAGAAAAAAGGGAAAACAATGCCTTGTGTGAGAATAATAAACATCAAATTCTATTATTATTATTTTTTTGAGATGGGGTCTCCCCCTGTTGCACAGGCTGCAGTGTAGTGACACGAACATGGTTCATGGTCTTTGATCTCCTGTGCTCAGTGATCCTCCCACCTCAGCCTCCCAAGTAGCCGGGACTATGGGTATACACCACCACACCCAGCTAATTTTTAAATTTTTTGTTGAGATAAGGTCTCACTATGTTGCCAAGACTGGTCTCGAACTCCTAGCCTCAAGTGATCCTCCTGCCTTGGCCTCCCAAAGTGCTGGGATTACAGGCATGGGCCACCACACCCGGCCAATAAACATCAAATTCTATGAGATGTTTATCCCTGTGGTGAGAAGGAGGGGAGAGGTCAGGAAGTGAGGGCTTCTGTTTTCATTGTAATATTAATATTTTAAAAATAAATGTGACAAACTATTGAGAGAAGACAGAGCTGGTGGTTGAGCCTTGGAGATTTAGAGACTTATTATGTATTTATTAAAGAGAGAATGTATCTGCAGTTTCCATTGTGTTTGAAATATTGTACTTAGAGGCTGGGCACGGTGGCTCACACCTGTAATCCCAGCACTTTGGGAGGCCGAGGTGGGTGGATCACGAGGTCAGGGGTTCGAGACCAGCCTGACCAACATGGTGAAACCCCGTCTCTACTAAAAATACAAAAATTAGCTGGTCATGGTGGTGGGTGCCTGTAATCCCAGCTACTCAGGAGGCTGAGGCAGGAGAATTGCTTGGACCCGGGAGGCGGAGGTTGCAGTGAGCCCAGATCACGCCACTGCACTCCAGCCTGGGCGACACAGCGAGACTCCATCTCAAAAAAAAAAAAAAAGAAATATTGCATTTAGAAAGAAAAGATCAAAGGACAATAACTCCAGGAAATTGGTTAAGGCGAGGAGCCAGCATGACTTGGTGGGGGGCAGATTAGGTTGGGGCTCTGGCCAGGCTTCTGAGATCTGGTGGAGGAGGGGTGGTCAGGCACACCCAGGCTCCTGAAGCTGGCAGGGGGCATGAAAGGAGGCGCCAAGGAGGAAGATTAAGGTACTATCAGAGTTAAGGGCAGAGCCCAGGGTAGCCCAGATGTTCCCGGAAGGAAGTGCAAGCGCAGGAGAGCGGTGAGAGTGTGTGCACAGGGTGTGTGCCCATGGGCCCCGCAGACGTGGCAGCTCCGGGTAGGGGCTGAATTAGGGTGGCCAGCCCTCCTTTACCCAGCTGGCTGCCAGTCCCAAGGGAGCCCTGTGTCGGCCCGGACAATGCACCAGGTAGACTCTGCTCACCCCTTCCTGCCAGGCTGGGCTGACTCCCTGCAGGGTCCCCCTGTCTGTCACCAGCCTCAGCTTCCCCTTTTCCTCTGCACATCTAGAGCTGCTTCCCCACCCCCTGCCCTGGGAACTTTGTGGCCTGGGACCCAGAGACACTTGCAAGGTAGGGTGGGGGGTGTGCCTTTCCACGAAGGGATGCATGTGGGAGATGGGATAGTGTGGACAAGGGGACTGAGGGGCTAAAGGACATGGGTTTGTCCTGGGAAGCCTTTCCTGGCCTACCCATGGGGAGGGCCATGCTGAGAGTGCAGGGTTAGAGAGAGGGGCTCCACCCGCTAAGATTTGTTCCAGGATGGCCCATCTGGGAAGGGGAAGCTAGGGAGGCAAAGTTTCTTGGGCCTGTGAGGACCTCAGCTCTAGGGTTTACAGTTTTGCCATTTGCTACCTTCACTACAATGCCACCACCCCCATCTAATACCAAGCAGGGTGGAGTCAGACAGGGGTACGGATCGTGACCCCCAGCTTTTGGTAGAAGAACACTGGGACTTGGACAGAGGAAGACTGGCACAGGGTCTCCACAATCCATCCTGGGCAGAGCCAGGAGTCCACACTGGGCACCCCCTCTCCTCCAGGACCCCAGAACCTGATGTTGAGACCTCGGCAGGGTGGCAGGGGTACAGTTATGGAAAGAGGCATCCCCCTGCCTTCTAAGTTCACATCCCCTCTACCTCTACCTCTACCTCTCCCGCCGCCAGGGCACCACCTGTCTGTCTTCTGTGTGAGTGGGGAGTAAGGGGAGCCTAAAATGCTGGACAAGGACCCCCTTTCCCCAGGACTTTAAGAAGCAGGTGCTCTCTGCCCACTGCCTAGGATGTGGGGACAGCAGCCCATAGCGTGCCAAGACTCCCGACCCAGGGCACAGGATCTATTTAGGAATTTTGCTGGAGACCTGGGAAAAGGGGACAGTGGGAGGAAACTTGGGGGGCCAAACTGTATACGCTGGACTGTGATGAAGCCAGCACTCTCTTTGACCCTGTCTGAATGTCTTTGTCTCCCTGCATCTGTTTCTTTTTTCTCTGTCTCTGTCTGTATCTTTATTTCTGTCTGTTTTTATGTGCCTTTTTCTTTCCCCTTTCCTCTTTCTTTCTCCCTCTCTGTATCCCCCTCTGCCTTTTCTGCCTTTTTCTTTGATCGTCTCTGCTGCCATGTGGTTTACCTCTGTATTCTCTGCCTCTCTCCAGGTCTTTACTCTGACTTTTTGTCTTTCTGTCTTTGTCTCTGGTCCCTCCCGCCCTCAACCCCCCGCCTCAGGTTCCTTTGGGTGTTTGTCTCTTTCTATTTTGGTCTTTTTCTGTGTGTATACATCCATGTCACCCTCTCTCTCTGCCACTCTCCTCCCAGGCTGGCCACTACTCCTGGCCTTCTCCAGCTGTGAACAGTTCATCAGAGCAGGAGCCCCAGAGGCAGCTTCCGGAGGTGCTAAGTGGCACCTGGGAACAACCTCGAGTTGACGGGCTGCCTGTGGTCACCGTCATTGTCGCTGTCTTTGTTCTGCTGGCAGTCTGCATCATAGTGGCAGTCCATTTTGGGCCAAGGCTGCACCAGGGCCATGCCACTCTCCCTACAGAGCCACCGACCCCAAAGCCAGATGGTGGCATCTACCTCATCCACTGGCGGGTGCTGGGCCCCCAAGACAGTCCTGAAGAAGCACCACCGGGCCCTCTTGTCCCTGGCTCCTGCCCTGCGCCAGATGGACCCAGGCCCAGCATCGATGAAGTCACTTGTCTGTAGGAGGGAGACTTTGGAGAGTTAGCCTGACCTAGCTCAGAACAAGAAACCGGGCAGAGAACTAGGGCAAAAGCAAATTGGAGCCTGGGCATCAGAGCGTCGGAAGGGCACACTGGACTCAGCTGGAGCTGCTCTCTCAGAACATTTATAGAGAGAGCCCTGTGGTGGGCAAGAGAAATCAAAACTTGAGGGCCCTGCCCAGAAACATGCTGCGGGGGGCCTTCCCAGGGCCCAAGGCCACCTCACAAAGTCCCTCCCTCCTCTTCAGGGACCACCAGACCCCTGAATCTCCTTTTCTGAGTCTCTGCCCCTTCATTGCACGCTTAATCTCCTTCCTTTGTAATGTGAATCCAACTCCCCACAAGCAGGAATGTCAGAGGCCCCGTGGAGAGGCCCTCATCCTACAAAGGCCAGCCAGGGAGAGCCCAGGCGGAGAAGCTGGGATCTGCCTTCCCTTAGGCTCACTGGTCTTAGGGAAGTGACGAACGTCTGTTCTCCTTGGGGCAGTCAGTCAGGGGCAGTCCTTCGGCTGTTAGGGCCCAGACCTTGTTGACAAGCTCCGAAGTCCTTGTAAGCCCAAGCACAATTTATAGTTCAAAGATTGGCTTTCAAAGGCCCCCACTGACTCTGTCTTGCCTCTCCAGAAGGGATGGGGGAATTTGGGAGCCTCTCATTGCCTCCCACTTTCTGTGTGCCTGGGCCTGTTGGAACAAGCCTAGAATGTACCACAGGACATTTCCCAGATCTTTCCGGCTGATGAGAAAACAGGAAAGGAAAAGGAGCTCCATGGAACTTGTTTTGGGAAGGAAGGAGTGGGGTGGGGACCACTCCCAGCTGTGGGAGTGCCTGGGTCTAATCAGCAGGGGGGTCAGGATGATGCATCCAGAAGCCAGGAAGACAAAACTGGGCCTCCTGGTGGCTCAGTGCCTGCTGGTGGCACTGCCTTCCCCAGCACCTCTGAATCTTACTCATCTGCAGTCAAGAACACGCAGACAGACATTTATGGCAGGACCTCTGGTGCTCTACCCTGGGGAACTCCTGGGGACAAGAAGTCCCCTGGGGGCATTGGCAAGACCCCACCACAGTCAGGGAGGCTGGGAAATAACAGAATATAAAAAGGAACAGAGGTGGGGATTGCAGTGTGTGCAGAGGGCAGGCTTGCCTCCTTTGGGATTGGGGAGAGGCAGCTAAAGTGTTAATAGCTGCCCCTTGTTGTGGGTCAGCTAAGTGCTGGACACCAGGCTTCTCTGTGGACCTACAGATATGATACCATTCACTCCTCACAACAACCTCCAGGGGAGGGGCCACTGCTATCCCCGTTTTACACTTGGGGAAACTGAGGGTTATCAAGATACCTAAGTAGACACAGGTCCTAAGTGGTGGAGTCAGGATTTGAAGCTGGGGCCATCAGACTCCACAGCCTAAGCCCCATGACAGTTACTGGATGGATTGGAAAGGCCTTTGATTCTGGGCTGGTTTCTAGTATACAAGCCACTGGTGTGATGATGGAGGATCTTCAGGCCTTGAGGACAGGGTGGGATACTTAGGGAGAGTGGGGACTGTTCCCCCTTGACTCCCTTGGCTCTGCCGTTCTTAGGGGCAGCCAGTTCCTTCTAACCCATGTGTGTCTGTGTGGAGCATTTCTCCACAGTGATGCTGTACTCAGAAATGTATATTGAGCCTTTGTGACCAAAAAAAAACAAAACAAAACAAAACAAAAAAAACCAAAACAGGCCAGGCACAGTGCACGGTGTCTCATGCCTGTGATCCTAGCACTTTGGGAGGCCAAGGTGGGAGGATCACCCAAGGTCAGGAGTTCAAGACTAGCCTGGCGAAACCCCGTCTCTACTAAAAATACAAAATTAGCCGGGCATGGTGGTGCATGTCTGTAATCTCAGCTACTCAAGAGACTGAGGCAGGAGAATCGCCTGAACCCGGGAGGCGGAGGTTGCAGTGAGCTGAGATCGTGCCGTTGTACTCCAGACTGAGTGACAACAGCGAAACTCCAACTCAAAAAAAAAAAAAAAAAAGGTGGGAGGGAGGGAAGGAGCCCAGCTTGGTGAGACAAATGGAACTAACAGAGATGGGCTGCCTTCCCTCCCAGATGGGGACAGCTGTGCCACCACAGTGTTGAATCAGTGGCTCAGTTGTAACCGTGATGGTGGAAGGTATGGCACGGCAGCTGGCTGTGCTGTCCAAGGCCCTCCAGGGACTGTCCCATCTCATCACACAAACTCTTTCCCCCTTGTCCGTTTGCAGGCTCTCTCATCTGGCACCTATAGTGACACCTGCTCCTTTGAGTGGCCCCTTGCCCAGGACACAGCTGTGTTCCTTCATGGCATCATTTGTGTGCTGGCTCAGGCCAGCCTATGGTCCCTGCTCCCCAAGCCTCTCACTGAAGAGAAAGGCACTGAAAGGACAGGTGCCCTCAGCCCAACTGGTAGGCTCTGTCCAGATGGTAAATGACACGCAGCACCCTGCTGCCCTGTACCAAGATGAGGAGGGGTGCAGGGAGGCATGCATGTGCAGGCAGGTTTGGACATTAGGGACAGTAATTCCCATCTGTTATATCGGTCAGAGTCCAGCAGGAAAAAGACGACACACTCACATTGGGTAATCTGAGATGTGCTTTAAAAAAGGACCGTTGAGAAAGGGGTGGAGTATAAGGAAACCGCAAGTGAGAGGGAGTACTCTAGTGGGGTGGGGGTGCCGATACACAGCTAGGCTTAAGGGGCCAGGGAAGGAAGTGGTGCCAGAATCCTAGAGATAGTCATGATTACGCAAGAGTTGCCCGGCAGGAGAGTCCATAGCAACCTTGATGCTGCAGGGTGGGAGCCGGGGGATTCAATACCCCAAACTCAGCCTCCTCCTCCTCTCCATTCTTCTGCTGGGGCTCCCCAATAATGGAACATGACCAGGAGCCAGAGGGCGAAGGAGCCTGTTGATACCATTGAGAGAGTTCGGCGTCCCCGGGCAAAGGAAGGGGAGAAGGGTGGGGAGTGGGTCTGGAAGGCCCCATGAAAGACACCTGGCACACCCCCTAAGTACACTAGCATCCAAAGTTTATGAAAAACTTCCACACACTCAGTCCTCACAACAACCGTGAGGGAGGTAAGGCAGTGATTATGATCCCATTTCACAGGTTGAAGACACCGAGGCTCAGAGAGGGGAAATGACTGGCCCAAGGGGACAAGACGCATCTTAAGATGTCAAGTCCTGGACCCTTCCCTGCAAGGCCCCCTGTGGAAGGAAATAGCTCTGCTGGACATTCAGCCACTGAAGAGAGCCCCCAGTCCAGAGGCTTGGAGACCACTGGAGGCTCTGGCCTGGTGACCCTGGGTCTCAAGAGAAATCCGTGCGGAGAGGGAGGGGCTTTTCCATTCCACTGATGAGGAGCTCAGGCTCTTGGGACATCGTGGAGGTACTGGGCACCGCTGAGGTCTTCAAGCTGCCCACAGTAACCTCTTCCTTTTCCTCCTGCCGCAGGTGCCGGAGAACCTCCTGGGACAGCGAGAAGCTGCTGTCATCTGCAGGTTCTGGAACAGGGAGATAGGGGAGAGAGTAATGAGGATCTTACCCATTCCCACTCAAACATACCTAGAGAACTTGCTGGGAAGATCCCCTAACCCTCCCTACCCCCCTTCCTACCCAAGCCCCAGCCACTGGGACTAGAGTTTCATAGAATCCTAGAGGTAGAAGTGGTTCAGGCCTGGCACAGTGGCTCACGCCTGTAATCCTAGCACTTTGGGAGGCCGAGGCAGGTAGATCATGAGGTCAGGAATTCAAGACCAGCCTGGCCAATATGATGAAACCCCGTCTCTACTAAAAATACAAAAATTAGCTGGGCATGGTGGCGGGCGCCTGTAGTCCCAGCTACTTGGGAGGCTGAGGCAGGAGAATCGCTTGGACCCGGGAGGTGGAGGTTGCAGTGACCCGAAATCGAGCCACTTCACTCCAGCCTGGGCAACAGAGTGAGACTCCATCTCAAAAAAAAAAAAAAAAAGTGATTTCAGAGAGAATGAAATTCCACCCTCTTACTTTTAAAGCTAATGCTCAGAGAGGAGCAGAAACCTGCCCGAGGTCACACAGTGAGGGAGTAGTAGAGCCGAGGCTGCAGCCCTAGTCTCCTGTGCCCAGTACATACTGGCCTGGGACTCTTCTGTTTCCTCTGGAATCCTAGATGAAGTGAGAGGCCCCTAGAACCCACCTCTTCAGGCTCCCCTGAGGGATTACAGTCAAAGACCTAAAAAGCAATCTGGTGTGCTGGGAAGAGGGGGCTTCTCCCAGGGAAGGAAGGACAGGCCCAGGGCATGGTGCTCCATAGCCCCTTCTGACTCTTTGGGAGACCCTGGGACCCCTGACTCCTCCTGCCCTCCAGCCTATCAACCCCTCACCCTACCAACCCCTCACCCTGGTAGGCAATGAGGCGGCAGTTGTTCTGAGACTCAGGGGCATCTGCCAGGATGTCCTCAAGTGTCCGGCAGAAGAGTTTGGCCTGCTCAAGCCTATCCTCCCGGCTAAAGCCAGCTTGACTGTATTGTGACATGGCAAACAAAGTCTGCAAGGGGGTGGCGTACTCCAGGACACAGGTGCCCGCCTAGAGGAGGTAAGAGGAAGACCAGACTAAGCCAGGGGCCAGGCGGATGGAGAATGGAGGGTCCAGTCCAGGCTCTGGCCCCCAGTGCCACGGGCTGAGGCCCCACTCCCTCAGCCTGTAACGATAGAGTCCTGGGAGGTGGCCACCCTAATGGGGTCTATGCTGTCTGGCCTGCCTTTGCCTCTGATACCCAACTCTGAAATCAGGGACACGGCTGGGCTAAATTTACCCTTCACAGATCCTTCTTCCAAGATCCTAGGGCAAGACCCGAGGCTGTCAACTGCTCCAGCTGGGAATCAGGTCTGGGGCTAGGCTCTGGGTTCAACTCTGGTCTGGGTTCCCCTGCACCCACATGAATCCTTCAGATGTTCTCACAGCCTTCGTCTGGGGCAGCTTTATGGTCAAGAGCATGGTACAGTCAAGTTTAAATCGTCCACTTTCCTACGGTGTCTCTGAGCCTCAGTGTCCTCCTCTGTAAAGTGGGAATGCTAACAGTCCCTACCCCATAGGGTGGTGGTGAGAATTCAATGAGGTGATCAGATGACACACCCAGAATAGCATCCAGCTTGTAGTAAGTGCTCGATAAATGTTACTCATCATTATCATTCAGAGCTGAATCCTGCCCAGACCTGGGACCAGCTAGGGACACTACAGCTCAGAGAAGGGCAGTGAATTTTCATCAGTGCTTGGCTAGGGCCCAGGGTTCTGGGGTCCTGACCCCTCCTCAGAGACCCCCACTCCCCTGCACACTTACCCGCTGCCCGTTCTCCAGAAGCTCATAGATGCTGTTGCTGTAAACCCGATCCTTGATGCCAGCATGGTCACCGGTCTGCTGGGGCAGTTTATCCAGGAAGCGAATGTTGGGGTCAGCCATACTCAGGTTATCAGGCACCCCACAGTCCAATGGGAGGAGAATATACAGCCGCTGGCTCACTGCACCCCGTAGCAGGTTGTTGTAATGCTGATTGTAAGTTCGAATCCGGGCCTGGAGCTCTGAGGCAGGGAAGCCCAAGAAGTTATTCCTGCTAACCCTATCTCCCACCTGATTCAGGAGTGAGACCCAGGTCATTGGCCCCCGCAGTGTGTGGGTGCCAGAGAATGGAGAGTCCAGTGCACTCTCATTGTACAGGAGGCCAGGAGGGGCAGCGCCTCCAAAAGCCCTCCCCACCCCTCCTCTTACTGCACCACCCTTTACCCTCCCTCACTTCTTTCCTCAGATGTCTATGTCAGCGCCACCCCTTTCCACCATGGCTTTCAGGGCTGAGAGGCAGGCAGAGCCCTGAGAGGTGACATTTCCAGCATTCTCGTGTGCACAGAGGGAGGCCTCTAGCCCCAGATCAGTCTCCTAGCGGAAGCCCTAGGAGATAGCAATGAGATATGGAAGAGCTGCCGCTTTAGCCTGCAAGTCAGAAGAATAAAACACACAGGCTTAGGGCAGGCACAGTGGCTCACGCCTGTAATCCAGCACTTTGGGAGGCTGAGGCAGGTGGATCATTTGAGGTCAGGAGTTTGAGACTAGCCTGGGCAACATGGTGAAACATTGTCTCTACTAAAAATACAAAAATTAGCCAGGCATGGTGGCACGTGCCTGTAATCCTAGCTATTCAAGAGGCTCAGGCAGGAGAATCACTTGAACCTGGGAGGCAGAGGTTGCAGTGAGCTGAGATCTTGTCACCACTGTACTCCAGGCTGGGTAACAGAAAGAGACTTCATCTCAAAACAACAACAACAACAACAACAACAACAACAACAACAACAACAACAACAAACACAGGCTCCACGGTGCAGTGGTCTAGGGTCCAGGCTCTGGACAAACCTGGGTTCAAATCCTTTCTCTTCCTCTCTCTAAGCTATGTGATATCGGATAAATCACTTTACCTCTCAGAACTGCACTTAAAAAAAAAGGCCAGGCACAGTGGCTCATGCCTATAGTTCTAGCACTTTGGGAGGCCGAGGTGGGTGGATCACCTGAGGTCAGGAGTTTGAGACTAGCCTACCCAACATGGTGAAACCCCGTCTGTACTGAAAATACAAAAATTAGCCGGGCGTGGTGGCAGGCACCTAAAATCCCAGCTACTTGGGAGGCTAAGGCAGGAGAATCACTGGAACCTGGGAAGCAGAAGTTGCAGTGAGCCCAGATTGTGCCACTCTACTTCAGCCCGGGTGAAAAAGTGAAACTCCATCTTAAAAAAAAAAAAAAATCTAAGGCTGGTGCAGTGGCTCATGTCTGTAATCCCAGCACTTTGGGAGGCCAAGGTGGGTGGATTACTTGAGGTCAAGAATTCAAGACCAGCCTGGGCAACATGGTGAAACCCTGTCTCTACTAAAAATACAAAAAAAAAAAAAAAAAAAAAAAAAAAAGCCATGCCGGTGGCAGGGACCTGTAATTCCAGCTACTTGGGAGGCTGAACCCAGGAGGCAGAGGTCGCAGTGAGCTGAGATTGTGCTACTGCACTCCAGTCTGCGCAACAGAGTGAGACTTTGTCTCAAAAAAAAAAAAAAAAAAAAATCTAAAATAGGTATGGGCTTGGTGGCTCCTGCTTGTTATCTCGGCACTTTGGGAAGCCAAGGCAGGAGGATTGCTTGAGCCCAGGAGTTGAGACCAGGCTGGGTAACATAGCAAAACCCTCTTCTTTTTAAAAAATATATAAATAAAATAAAACAGGAATAAAGATTATTCCTTCCTCATAGGGTGTGAATTAGAAAAGGCACATGAGAGCACACAGCATGCAGTAAATATTTATTGAAAGAATTTACAGCTGGGCTCACGCCTGTAATCCCAGCACTTTGGGAGGCTAAGGCAGGCGGATCACTTGAGGTCAGGAGTTTGTACCGGCCTGGCCAATACGGTGAAACCCTGTCTCTACTAAAAATACAAAAATTAGCCGGGCGTTGTGGTGGGTGCCTATAATCCCAGCTACTCGGGAACCTGAGCCAGGATAATCACTTGAACTTGGAAGGAGGAGGTTGCAGTAGCCGAGATGGTACCACTGCACTCTAGCCTGGGCGACAGAGGGAGATTCCTTCTCAAAAAGAAAAAAAAAGAATTCACAAGTGACCTTGGGCAAGTCACTTAATGGCTCTAAGCCCCATATTCCTTTCTGCAAACTAGGCATCATAGCAACATCCTTCATGCCTTGGGATTAAAGGATTTGGTAGACATGAAAATGCTTTGAAAAATATAGTGAGTTCTGTGTGTTTAGAAACACAAGAGGCTGTGTGTCTTAGTGTCTGTTTTGTAGATCGAGAAATGGGGGCAGAGAGGATGGCCCACCTGGCAGGATCAGCCGCAGATATCCGATGTAATATGACCATGCCAGCCCATGGGCCACGTTGAAATTCCCTTTTTCACACACTGCAGAGATCTCAGCTGGGGCCAGGCCCTGTGGACAGCAGGATGTGGCTGGGGGGCCTCCATCAAGGACACCCAGAGAACTCCTCCTCCTCCTCCAAGGCTTCCCAACCTGCTCCTGACTTGATCCCTCTTTTGCCATTGCCAAACCCACTGTTCCAGGACATTATAGGTTCTACTCCATGGACTCCAGCCTTTAAACCAGTCCCACTCCCAGTACTCAGCTCAGGGCAGGTCACACCAGCCACAGCCACCACTTGGCCAGAGCTTCTACCTCCCCCTGTGTCATACCTTGAGGCCCAGGAGGATGTTCAGTGCCTGCGAGAGGCCCAGGAGGGCAAGCATCCAAGTGAAGGGCGGGCCGACCGCATTTGGGAGGGAGTAGTAGAAATAGATGGACAGCAGCAACAGGGCCCCACGGCGGAGGGGGCAGCCCAGGCAGGCCCGCACAGTCCTCCAGTAGCTGCCCCGGTACCTGTGAGTGACAGCCAGACCCCAGACCCCAGCCCCCAGCCCAGCTCAGCCAGAGAGGTTCAAGGAGGGGCAGGGCTAGGCATCAAGGGAGTGACACACGTTGGATACCCCGTCCCTGGGTACTGCAGTGAGTCACCTGGAGTGGATGTGGCGCAGCTCCTCAGCCAGGCTGCAGACCCCGTTTAACAGCAGTCCCAGCTGCAGGGAGGCTAGGTGGAGCACCAGGTACCGGAGAGTGTGCTCTGGTGGCTCTCCTAGCCCCCAAAGGGTCACCAGGCAGGCACTCAGCAGAACCAAGGCTGCCTTCTGGGCCCCGTGACCCCTGGGACACGGGATGGATGGATGCAGGCTGGAGTGGGGCATCTGTGGGCACCAAGAAATCCATGACCATTCTCCCCTTGCCCTCCTGCCCTTCTGGGACTGAGGCTCTGGCTGGGCACTTCCTCCCAGTTCCCCTTTCCCTGGTGCCCAGCCACTCCCAGAGGCTGCTCTTAGAGACACCTCTAGGAGGCAGGCTGGGAATAAGTCACCCCAAAGCTCCTGTCTCAGCGAGGTTTGCTGAAAACAGAGCAGGGCCTGCACATACACGCCCCACCAAGACCCAGGGAGACCACAGGTGTGGTGAAGAAAGAAGGCAGCAACTATCCCAGACCCAGACTTGAAGCTGTCCTGTGCAGCCGTACCCAACCAAGAACCCTTGGGGACCTGGGTTCCCCTGTCCCCGGAACCCACCCCAGGGAGGACCTTAGTCAACAAAGTGGAAAACAGAGCTCAGGGAGTGGGGACAGGGCAGCCAGCAGGCACCCCCTCGCCTCTGGGTGCCAGGGGCCCTAGGTTTGGCGTTCTGCCAGGCTGATCTTGAGCCTACCTTCTGCCTCCCGGACACTGGCTGCTCTGGATGATGACGAGGAGAGAAGGCCCGGCGCTACGAGCAGCCAAGGGCAGCTTCTCTGAGTGCAGCCTGAAAATGAGATGTTAACAACGATTGGTTTCTCCACAACACTCTAGCCCTGGCGTTTCTCCAAACCGCAGCTTTACTGGTGCTGGGAAGGAGGGTATTTCCTGTTCCTCAGGAAGGGAGGTAGGAACCTTCCCTCAAAGCCCTGATGAGCTGGGCCTGAGTCCTGGGGTCAGGGGTGAGGTTTGAGAAAGCCTCCATTCCATTGCCCTTTGCTACCCCCAAACCAAGGGTGTTTAGAAACACTCACCGCAGTCACAGCTCTGAACAGCGGGTTCCCCTCAAGCCACCACGATCAAACACACTGTACCTAACACCTGAGCAGGACTCCACACACTCAGCCAAAGGCAGCACACACATCACACGATGATTCCCCGTCTCATATTTTTCTTCTGGTTTCCAGGATGCAGATTCTTTTTCTGAAAAGTGTGACCTAGGAGGGAGGAGTGAAAAATGAACAGTTATTTCCGGTAACAAGAGCTATTTTTATAAAGCACTTGGTGGGAGAGGAGGGGCACAGAGGAATGGGGGTTTGGCTCTTTGCAGGAAATGGCCACGCCTGTGACTTCTCCAAGAGAGCCTGCCGGTTTCTGCCCAGAAGGCGGTTGTGGGGATGATATTAGGTAGGAGCAAAAGTAATTGCAGGCCTGGCACAGTGGCTCATGCCTGTAATCCCAGCGCTTTGGGAGGCCGAGATGGGTGGATCACTTGAGGTCAGGAGTTCAAGACCAGCCTGAGCAACATGGTGAAACCCCATCTCTACTAAAAACAAAAATTAGCCAGGCGTGGTGGTGGGCGCTTGTAATCTTAGCTACTTGGGAGGCTGAGGCAGGAGAATCGCTGGAACCTGAGAGGTGGAAGTTGCAGTGAGCAGAGATTAGGCCACTGCACTCCAGCCTGGGCAACAAGAGCGAGACTGTCTCAAAAGAAAAGAAAAGAAAAGAAAAGAAAAATGATCTGACCTACATTGTTTGAGTGTAGGTTATAAAATCCCCATGCATCAACCTAAATTATAATAATAATAATAATAATAAAGTGTTTACCTTGTTCCAGACATTATGCCAAGTGTTGCATATATCACTTCACTTGTATATCATTTCACCAGCCACCCTGTCAGGTAGGTATAATTCTAGCCCCATTTTATAGATGGATAATCCGAGGCTCAGGGAGGTGAAATAACTGGTTTAAGTAATTGAGAGTGGGGACTTGAAGCCTGGTGGGTTGCTCCAAAGCCCAGCTTGCTCTGTGCCTTGATTTCATTCCAGTAATCCCAGCACTTTGGGAGGCCAAGGCAGGAGGATCACTTGAGCCCAGAAGTTTGAGACCAGCCTAAGCAACACAGGGAGATCCCATCTCTACAAAAAAAAAAAAAAAAAATTAGCCAAGCATGACGGAACACGCCTATAGTCCCAGCTACTTGGGAGGCTGAGGTGGGAGCATCACTTGACCCCTGGAGGTAGAGGTTGCAGTGAGTTGTGATGGCACCACTGCACTCCAGCCTAAGTGACAGAGTGATACCCTATCTCAAAAAAAAAAAAAAAAAAATAGGCCAGGCGCAATGGCTCATCCTTGTAATCCTCGCACTTTGGGAGGCCAAGGCAAATGGATCACTTGAGGTCAGGAGTTCGAGACCAGCCTGGCCAACATAGTGAAACCCCATCTCTACTAAAAGTACAAAAAATTCGCTGGGCGTGGTGGCGGGTGCCTATAATCCCAGCTACTCAGGAGGCTGAGGCAGGAGAATCGCTTGAACCCAGGAGGCGGAGCTTGCGGTGAGCCGAGATCATGCCACTGCACTCCAGCCTCGGCAACAAGAGTCAAACTCCATCTCAAAAAAAAAAAAAAAAAAGGCCGGGTGCAGTGGCTCACTCCTATAATCCCAGCAATTTGGGAGGCCAAGGCAGGCAGATCACCTGAGGTCAGGAGTTCAAGACCATCCTGACCAACATGGAGAAACCCCATCTCTACTAAAAATACAAAAAATTAGCTGGGCGTGATGGCGCATGCCTGTAATCCCAGCTTCTTGGGAGGCTGAGGCAGGAGAACTGCTTGAACCTGGGAGGCGGAGGTTGCACTGAGCCGAGATCGTGCCATTGCACTCCAGCCTGGGCGACAAGAGCAAAACTCCGTCTCAAAAAAAAAAAAAAGAGAAGAAAGAAAGAAAAAGAGAGAGAGAGAAAGGAAGGAAGGGAAGGGAAGGGAAGGGAAGGGAAGGTCTGACCTACATTGTTTGAGTGTAGATTATAAAATCCCCCTTCCAGAGAGGGCCCTGCCCCACACTCAGAAAGAAGGAACACACGCTCAGAGAGGCCAAGAAGAATCTAGACAGACGGGCGAGGCTGGGTTTCCCCACTCATTCTATTAGCATTAGAGCATACCCTTTCTGTCCAATTATATTTCAACAAGGGTGTCCATACTTTAATGAACCTAAACGTAAAAATAGACAATTTGCCCTCTGTCTTTGGGTCTTCATTCTGAAGGCCTCTGTGACACATAAAACTCTGATCAAATAAATTTGTATATTTTTCCTCCTGTTAATCTGCCTCTTGTCAGTGATTTTCAGCAAGCCTTCAGAGGGCGGAGGGGGAATTTTTCCTTGGCCTTGACACAAGCTTTGAGTTCCCTTGGGGTGGGAAGTGTCTCTGGCTGCAGTAAGCTGCTTCAAAGAAGGGGCAGGCCTGGAGAGTGAGGCTAGGATGGCACCCGCAGAGCAGCAGTAGTTCATTCCTGTCCAGGTCAGAGGGGTCCTCGCCCTGAACCCTTCCCCACATCATGACCAGACATGGGAAGACACACATTGATAGATGCCTTGGCCTCAGAGGAGCAATGAGGCTTCCTGGAAACTCTGGTTTTTCAAAATCATGCCCTAACAATGCAGGGAATTCCCTACACTTTCTCTCCTCTACAATAGGCTCACATAAAGACCTAGGAGAAGGCCAGGCGCAGTGGCTCATGCCTGTAATCCCAGCACTTTGGGAGGCTGAGGCGGGCAGATCACGAGGTCAGGAGATCGAGGCCATCTTTGGGAGGCTGAGGCAGGAGAATCGCTTGAACCCGAGAGGCGGAGGTTGCAGTGAGCCAAGATCGTGCCACTGCACTCCAGCCTAGGCGACAGAGGCAGACTCCATCTCAGAAAAAAAAAAAAAAGATCCAGGAGAATATATGACAAAGTTCTAACAAAGGTTACTCTGTGCAGTTGGAATATGGGTGATTTTTATTCTATTGTCCTTTTTTGCTCATTATGTTTTCTAAGATTTCTTTTCCCTACATTGAACATGTATCATTTGTTTAATGTTTATTTATTTATTTATTTTTAAATTTTTGAGACGGAGTCTTGCTCTGTCGCCAGGCTGGAGTGCAGTGGTGCGAACTCAGCTCACTGCAACCTCCGACTCCCTGGTTCAAGCAATTCTCCTGCCTCAGCCTCCAGAGTAGCTGGGATTACAGGCACGTGCCACCACACCCAGCTAATTTTTGTATTTTCAGTACAGACGGGGTTTCACCATGTTGGCCAGGATGGTCTTGATCTCCTGACCTCGTGATCCTCCCACTTTGGCCTCCCAAAGTGCTGGGATTACAGGCGTGAGCCACCATGCCTGACCTGTTTAATGTTTAAAATATGCCGTAAAGAAAATCCAGCTGGGCACAGTGGCTCACGCCTGTAATCCCAGTGCTTTGGGAGCTCAAGGCAGTAGGATCGCTTGAGCCCAAGGAGTTAAAGGCTGCAGCAGTGAGCTATGATCACACCACTGCATTTCAGCCTGGGTGACAGAGCAAGACCTAGTCTCAAAAGAGAGAGAGAGAGAGAGAGAGAGAGAGAGAATCCCAACATTGTCTCAGTCTTAAGACCTCCTTCCACTCCCGTCTGTCCCCTCTCCCTCCCCTCTGCCCTACCTGCTACTCTGGGCTCATTTCCCTGAGTCTGAACCTGCTCTAATGCAGACCTTGCAGGCGCAGAAGGCACTGAGGCCAGGTCATTCAGATAAAGTAAGCTGGGGCTTGGCCAAAAGGAGTGGGAATGGTGGGGTCCAGGGAAGCCGGGAAGCCAGCCTAGCCTGGCCTGCCTGGAGAGAAAGGTCCTGCAGGGTGCGGGAAGGAGTGCAGGCTGCGAAGGGAGCAGAGGCCCCACAGCCTGGGCCTTCCAGTGCCAGGCCAGGATTTCCGCACACCCTTAATCCATGCAGTCTATCCCTGTGTGTACCGTGCTTTGCATGGGATAGGACTGCTGGTGCACGTGCCAGGTCAGTACTTGTCATGGCACCTACAGCTGGACAGGGGAAATGGGCAGAACACAACTGTATGAGTAAGTAGTTAACTACAGATGTGGCAGGGCTACAAGGAATGCACTCAGCCTGCTGCCGTGAGCGGAAATTGGAATACCCAGGGTCAGGTTTCCCTGAAGGCAGCGATTTACCCTGAGTTTGGAAGGAGGATGGGAGTGATGGAGGGCGGGTGGGTGTGCAACATTCTGAAAGGAGCAGCACACACAAAGGCCCTGGAGTGGGAAGGAGCCAGGCAGTGGAGGAACAGAGCAATGGCTGGTGCAGCTGGGGCAAGTAAGCATGTGGAGGGGTCTCTGTTAGTTTCCAAGAACTGCCATAACAAAGTATCACAAATTTCGTGGCTAAAAACAACAGATGTTTATTCTCTCATAGTTCCAGAGGCTAGAAGTCCAAAATCAAGGTGTTGGTAGGGCCACACTTCCTCTGAAATCTCTAGAGTAGCGGTCCCTAACCTTTTTGGCACCAGGGACTGGTTTCTTGCAAGACGATTTTTCCATGGATGGGAAGGGGGATGATTTCAGGGTGAAACTGTTCCACCTCACATCCGAGCATTAGTTGGATTTTCCTAAGGAGCATGCAACCTAGATCCCTCGCATGTGCAATTCACAATGGAGTTCGCACTCCTATGGGCATCTAATGCCGCCACTGATCGGACAGGAGGCAGAGCTCAGGCTGTAATGCTCGCTCGCCCACTGCAGCCCGGTTCCTGACAGGCCACAAACCAGTTCTGGTCCGAGGCCCAGGGACTGGGGACTCCCGCTCTAGAGGAGGATCTCTCCTTGCCACTTCTACCTTCTGGTAGTCCCAGGTGTGTCTGGACCCAACCTCTGCCTCCTTCATCACGTGCCATTCTCCCTTCTGTGTCTCTGTCTTCACATAGCCTTTCTTGTTATGAAGACACCAGGTGAAGGTACAGTGGCTCATGCCTGTAATCCTAGTGCTTTGGGAGGCTGAAGCAGGAGGATTGCTTGAGGCTAGAGTTCAAGGCCAGCCTGGGCAACACAGGGAGACCCCATCTCTAGAAAAAAAAAAGGCCAGGCACGGTGGCTCATGCCTGTAATCCCAGCACTTTGGGAGGCCGAGGCAAATGGATCACCTGAGGTCAGGAGTTCGAGACCAGCCTGGCCAACATGGTGAAACCCCGTCTCTACTAAAAATACAAAAAATTAGGTGGGTGTGGTGGCAGGACCCTGTAATCCCAGCTTCTCAGGAGGCTGAGGTAGGAGAATCTCTTGAACCCAGGAGGCGGAGGTTGCAGTGAGCCGAGATCACGCCGCTGCACTCCAGCTTGAGCAACAACAGCGAAACTCCATCTCAAAAAAAAAAAAAAATTAGCTGGGCATGGTGGCTCACGCCTGTAATCCCAGCTTCTCAGGAGGCTGAGGCAGAATTGCTTGAGCCCAGGAGGTGGACATTGCAGTGAGCTGAGATTGCACCACTGCACTCCATCCTGGGGGCAGAGTAAGACTCTGTCTCAAAAAAAAAAAAAAGCACCAGTCACTGGATTAGGACCTACCCTAATGACCTCACCTTAACTCAATTGCATCTGCAAAGGCCCTATTTCCAAGTAAGGTCACATTCACAACTACCATAGATTAGGATTTCAGTATTATCTTTTTGGAGACACAACTTAATTCATAACAGGGTCAGTGGTATAAGAACGGGACTGGAGGGTGGGTGGGACCCTTGTGGCTTGTGGCCAGGGCCTCAGTACCTAGGAAGCATCACAACAGCTGCATTCATGGGATTGTCCTCAGCAGTAAGACACTTCAGCTGTATTGACAAGCAGGGACATCACAGCTCTTCCAGACTGACCATCTGGTCCTCCAAAGAGGAAGCTGAGGGCCATGGAGGGAAGTTAGGCCCAAGTTCCAGGCTGCCTGGCTTACTGGCTGCAGCTCTCAGGCTGGTGGTGCTGAGTTCCCACACTCCGCTCCACAGCCTGCTCCTTCCTCTGGTAGTTGCTTCTTCCCTCCAGACACCCCGGAAGTGCTGGTCTGGGCTGGCTTTCATTTCTATTTCCAGCTGAGTTACAGCTTTCACGAGTCTTCCCTGAAACTCATTATCAGTGGTCCCAGTGAGAAATAAGCCCCCATGCTTTCATTCAGGGGACTCTGGGCCTTGGACAGAGTGTGAATGGGGTAGGGAGGCCTCTGGCCTCTATGGAGCCACTCTTTTGCCCACACAACCTCAGTGCCCCTTAATCCTACCAGAATAGGGACATTGGGGGGATTTTATCAGTTGATCACAGTAGACCTGGTTTCCAATCTGGCCTCTGCTTCTTCTGGCTGTGTGACCTTGGCCCAGATATGCAACCTCTTTAAACCCAAATTTCCTCATACCTAAAATGGGGATAGCAACATCTTTTATCTGACAGAATTGTTTTGAGAATGGAAAGAAAAAATGCATAAATGCATGTGCAGACCTGATTTGTAAATGCTCAGTAATTGCTAAGTCTTTTTATTTTATTTATTTATTTATTTATTTTGAGATGGAGTCTCACTTTGTTGCCCAGGCTAGAGTGTAGTGGTGCAATCTCGGCTCACTACAACCTCCGCCTCCTGGGTTCAAGCGATTCTCCTGCCTCAGCCTCCCGAGTAGCTAGGACCACAGACACATGCCACTATTTTTGTATTTTTGTATTTTTAGTAGCGATGGGGTTTCACCATGTTAGCCAGGCTGGTCTTGAACTCCTGACCTCAAGTGATCCACCCATCTCGGCCTCCCAAAGTGCTGGGATTACAGGTATGAGCCACCTTGCCCAGTCATTTTTTGTTTTTGTTTTTTTTTGCTTGTTTGTTTGTTTTTGAGACAGGGTCTGTCTCCCAGGCTGGAGTGCAATGACAATCACAGCTCACTGCAGCCTTGACCTCCCAGACTCAGGCAATCCTCCCACCTCAGCCTCCCAAGTAGCAAGGACTATAGACTTGTACCACCATGCCTAGCTAATTTTTGTATTTTTTTTTTGTAGCGATGGGGTTTCACCATGTTGTCCAGGCTGGCTTAGAACTCCTAGGCTCAAGCAATCCACACACCTCAGCCTCCCAAAGTTCTGGGATTACAGATGTGAGCCACTGCACCCTGCCAGTAATTGCTAACTCTTATCACCACCACCAGCACCATCACCATCATTATCACCACTGACAATCACACTCTTGGAGTTGCCAGCCCCTCTTACCTTGGTTTCTACCTTGGGCTCAAATCACCTCTCCTGCAGACACAGAGATTTGATATCTAATCCAGGGGTGGCTTCTGGGTCTGACTCCAGCTGCCCCTCTGTTATAATTCTATTGTCCCATCATGGAATTAACTATTGTGTCATGGTCTTCCCTAAACAAGATGCTATCCTAGTAGACGTAATGAGGAAAGAGGGGCTAGATGATGGTGTGATTGGGGGCAGGGAAGCACAGCTGGCTGGCTGAGCTGCTATATCTTCAGGAAGTGAACAATGGACCCACATTTTGTTGGAAGGAGGTATCTAGCCGGGTGCAGAGATCTACCATTTATTTATTTATTTATTTATTTATTTATTTATTTATTTATTTATTTTTGAGATGGAGTTTTGCTCTTTTTGCCCAGGCTGGAGTGCGATTGTACGATCTCTGCTCACTGCAACCTCCGCCTCCCAGGTTCAAGCAATTCCCCTGCCTCAGCCTCCCTAGTAGCTGGGATTACAGGCATGCACCACCATGCCTGGCTAATTTTGTATTTTTAGTAGAGATGGGGTTTTTCCATGTCAGTCAGGCTGGTCTTGAGCTCCCGACCTCAGGTGGTCCATCCCCCGCAGCCTCCCAGAGTGCTGGGATTACAGGCATGAGCCACTGCGCCCAGTCTTGTTTATTTATTTACTCATTTTGATAATAGCTTTATTGAGATATGTCATATATTATACGGCTCACCAACTTAAAGCATGCTATTCAATTCAATGGTTTTAAGTATATTCACATAGTTGTGCAACCATCACCACAGTTAATTTTAGAACATTTTTGTCACTCCCAAAAGAAACCTGTACCTTTAGCCATTGATATAGTTTGGCTCTGTCCCCACCAAAAATCTCATCTTGAATTGTAATCCCCATAATCCCTACATGTCAAGGGTGGGACCAGGTGGAGGTAATTGGATGATGAGGTGGTTTCCCCCATGCTGTTCTCATGATAGTGAGTGAGTCTCATGAGATCTGATGGTTTTATAAGCGTTTGGCATTTCCCCGGCTTACACTCATTCCATCCTGCTGCCCTGTGAAAAAGGTGCCTGCTTCTCCTTTTCCTTCTGCCGTGATTGTAAGTTTCCTGAGGCCGCCCCGGCCATGCAAAACTGTGAGTCAATTAAACCTCTTTCCTTTATAAATTATCTAGTCTTGGGTATTTCTTCATAGTAGTGTGAGAATGGACTAATATAACCATCAACCCCCAACCACCAACCAACACCCCTACCTCATCCCCAGACAACCACTAATCTGCTTTCTGTATCTATAGATTTGCCTATACTGGACACAACATAAATCGAATCATGCAATATGTGATTGTGTCCGGCTTCTTAGCATCATGGTTTTTTTTTGTTTGTTTTTTATGTGTGTGTTTTTGAGATGGGGTCTCGCTCCATCACACAGGCTGGAGTGCAGTGGTGCGATCTCAGCTCACTGCAACCTCCGCCTCCTGGGTTCAAGCGATTCTCCTCTCTCAGCCTCCTGAGTAGCTGGGATTACAGGCACGAGTCACCATGCCCAGCTAATTTTTTGTATTTTTAGTAGAGACAGGGTTTCACAATGTTGGCCAGGCTGGTCTCGAACTCCTGACCTCAGGTGATCAGCCCTCCTTGATCTCCCAAAGTGCTGGGGTTACAGACCTGAGCCACTGCGCCCTGCCCTTAGCATCATGTTTTACAGGTTTGCCCATGTTGTAGCATGTATCAGTACTTCATTTCTTTTTATCCTTCTTGTTGCCAAAAATATTCCATTGTGTATAATGTTCCATTGATATACCACTTTTATTGACCATTAATTAGTTAAGGACAATTGAGTTATTTCCACTTTTTGACTATTATAAATAATGCTGCAATGATCATTCATGCCCAAGTGTTTGTGTGGACACACATTTTCATTTCTCTTGGGTATGTACCTGGGTGAGGGGATGCTTGGTCATATGGCAACTCTATATATAAACTTTTGAAGAACTGCCAGACTGCTTTCCAAGTGGTTGCACCATTTTACTTTCCCACTAGTTATGTATGAGGGTTCCAGTTTCTCTACCTCCTAGTCAATATTTGCTATTCTCTGCCTGTTAAATTCTAGCCATCTAGTGTATGTGAAGTGATATCTTATTTTTTTATTTTAAAAAAATTTTGAGCCAGGCGCGGTGGTTCTCGCCTGTAATCCCAGCACTTTGGGAGGCTGACGCGGGTGGATCACAAGGTCAGGAGATCGAGACGAGCCAGGCCAACATGGTGAAAACCCGTCTCTTCTAAAAATACAAAAATTAGCTGGGCATGGTGGTGGGTGCCTGTAATCCCAGCTACTTGAGAGGCTGAGGCAGGAGAATCGCTGCAACCCGGGAGGCGGAGGTTGCAGTGAGCCAAGGTCATGCCACTGCACTCCAACTTGGTGACACAGCGAGACTCCATCTCAGAAAAAAAAAAAAAAAAAAATTGGGGGCCGGGTGCAGTGGCTCACGCCTGTAATCCCAGAACTTTGGGAGGCCAAGGTGGGCGGATCACTTGAGGTCAGGAGTTCAAGACCAGCCTGGCCAACATGGCGAAACCCCGTCTATACTAAAAATACAAAAATTAGCCAGGTGTGGTGATGCATGCCTGTAATCCCAGCTACTCGGGAGGCTGAGGCAGGAGAATCGCTTGAACCTGGGAGGTGGAAGTTGCAGTGAGCCAAGGTCATGCCACTGCACTCCAGCCTGGGCAACAGAGTGAGACTCCATCTCAAAAAAAAAAAAAGAAAATTGCTGGGGGCCTACGGTACAGGGTGAGCAGGGCCTGAATCGTGACCCTGACCTGGACCTGACCTGAATTGCAACCCTAACCCGACTGCAACCCTGACCACGACCCCAGTGGATTTTATAGAGAGGAAGTCAGACAGGGAGGGAGAAGAATAGGATTTGATGTCATCGTGTTGTTTGGCATCCAGGGGCCTTTATTTAGAGTTGGGTTAGAGCCTCCACCTGGAAAATGTGGATGCCAAGTTGGGCATTATGTGGTTAACCTGACTTATTTTGAGCAGTTGGCGCTCCCTATCTTGAGGAATGCAGATTCCAGCAGTGACCCAGGGCAGAGAGTGTGTGTCACTGATGAGAGTGGGAAAATGAAACTCTTTAGTTAGCCTTTCATCCAATCTGTTTGTCAGATGCTATCTACCCCAGGGACTATAATCGCTGGCACAATCCCAGTCCCTAAAGGAAAGTCACTGGCCCTTGTAGAAGAAATCAGAAACAGAAATGATGTGAAAGTGTTTAATGTCTCCAAGGAAGACAGAAACCACCTTCTGCAAGATATTGTGATGTGTGTGCAGAGCAGCAGGAAGCGAAGACATGTGTTCCTGCTTTTCTACCCGTGAAGGGGTGCCCAGTTCAAGAGGAGCCCGATGGAGCCCTGCCTGCCACGGCTGTATGCCTTTGGGGTTATGATAGCTTGTGGGCTTTTCTAGTGAAAATGTCAAATGTTTTCCATAAAATGTTTAAAAGATCAAATTAGCCTTAATGCTGGATTGTCTGTACAAGATTAATAATCCATTGTGGCTTATGTATGCTTAAAGATTTCTGTTTATTTCCTCTTGCAGTCGTGCACATGATTTGGGTAAATTATGAGATGAGAAATGGTTTTCAGAGTATTAGATGGAATTTGCCCCCATCGAAGTTTATAAATGTGTTCACAGGGAGGGAGGAATAATAGCTCATTGCCTAACCAATTTTGCAGGTCATGAAAATGAAATCCCTTTCCAGGTGCAGCTTCAGTCCCATGCAACTTAAAATAATAACAGTTATTTGATTTTTTAGAAAACTATTCCAAAAGAAAACCATTTTAGGTAATCTCCCCCAACTCTTACTATTTGTTTGCTTATTGCTTCATAAATATAAAAATAAATCTAAAGGTTATAGACAAAAGAAAAAAATTTTTTAGTCTGGAAGCAGTGGCTCATGCTTGTAATCCCAGCACTTTGGGAGGTCGAGGCCAGCAGATCACTTGAGGCCAGGAGTTCAAGACTAGCCTGGCCAATGTGGCCAAACCCCATCCCTATTAAAAATACAAAAAATTGCTTTGGGCCCTAGGTTTGTGTGGCCCGTGTCTCAGCCCACCCAAGGTCCCCTCGGATCGCTCAGAGAGGCACTCGGACCTGGAGCAGTGAGCAGAATGAATACCTTCTAAGACCAGAGTGGCAGCTCCAGTAATAGAGAACCCCTTTTGAGGCCAGGCACGGTGGCTCACACCTGTAATCCCAACACTTTGGGAGCCCGGGGTGGGCGGATCACGAGGTCAGGAGATCGAGACCCTCCTGGCTAACACGGTGAAACCCCGTCTCTACTAAAAATACGAAAAATTAGCTGGGCGTGGTTGCAGGCGCCTGTAGTCTCAGCTACTCAGGAGGCTGAGGCTGGAGAATGGCCTGAACCCAGGAGGCGGAGCTTGCAGTGAGTCAGGATCGCGCCACTGCACTCCAGCCTGGGCAACAGAGCGAGACTCTGTCTCAAAAATAAATAAATAAATAAATAAATAGAACCCCTTTTGAGGTGTAGTGATGCATGGAGGGACTTGGAGCTTGCTATTGGTGGAGTTCTCCGGGCTGAACAGCAAATTAAAGATAACTTGAGAGAGGTCAAAGCTCAGATTCACAGTTGCATAAGCTGTCACCTGGAATGTCTTAGAAGTTGTGAGGTGTGGCTATATGAACAGGTAGACCTCATCTATCAGCTTAAAGAGGAGACACTTCAACAGCAGGCTCAGTAGCTCTAGTGGTTATTGGGCCAGTTCAATTTTCTTACTCATCAACTGGACTGTACCCAAAACAAAGATCTAGCCAATCAAGTCTGCGTGCCTGAAGAGACTGGGCAGTTTGACCCTTAAGCCTAAAGATTCAACTATCTCGCTCTTTGAAGCTGACACAAGTGCTCTGCGC
The DNA here is from genome assembly GCF_000001405.40 of Homo sapiens. Classification (NCBI taxonomy): domain Eukaryota; kingdom Metazoa; phylum Chordata; class Mammalia; order Primates; family Hominidae; genus Homo; species Homo sapiens. Next base: position 84,494 of record NW_021159996.1, read on the forward strand.
CAGACCATCACCACATTTGGGTCTCTCAAAATCATTCAGACTCCTGAGCACTTCATGGCTCATGCTAGTTCATCAAATATTGGGCCCTTCCTGGACAAGAGAAGCTATAACCCAATGCCAGAGCAGAAGTCAGCATCCAGTATTGTAGCTGTCCCTCTCAGTGAATGGCTGCTTGGGAGCCAACCTGCCAGTGGTCATCAGGCTCCTTACATACCCAGCACCAACCCCCAGGACTGGCTCACCCAAAAGCAGACCTTGGAGAATAGCCAGACTTCTTTCAGAGCCTGCAATTTCTTCAGTAATGTCTGGGGAAACCTAAAGGGCTTAGAAAACTGGCTCCTCAAGAGTCAGCAACAGGAAATTCCTGAAAAACCAAGTTATCAAAACTGTAACAGCCATTCCACTACTAGTCATTTCTCCATTGAAATGGAAAAGTTTGAAGATCTAAAGCTTCCTGATCAAGATGAGATGGACCTATCAGATTGGCTGGTGACTCCCCAGGAATCCCATAAGCTGAGGAAGCCTGAGAATGGCAGTTGTGAAACCAGTGAGAAGTTTAAGCTCTTATTCCAGTCCTATAATGTGAATGATTGGCTTGTCAAGACTTACTCCTGTACCAACTGTCAGGGAAACCAGCCCCAAACTGTGGGGATTGAAAACCTGGGCAATCTGAAGTGTCTGAATGACCACTTGGAGGCCAAGAAACCATTGTTCACCCTCAGCATGGTTACAGAGGATTGGCTTGTCCAGAACCATCAGGACCCATGTAAGGCAGAAGAGGTGTGCAGAGCCAATGAGCCCTGTACAAGCTCTGCAGAGTGTGTGTGTGATGAGAGCTGTGAGAAGGAGGCTCTGTATAAGTGGCTTCTGAAGAAAGAAGGAAAGGATAAAAATGGGATGCCCGTGGAACCCAAACCTGAGCCTGAGAAGCATAAAGATTCCCTGAATATGTGGCTCTGTCCTTCTAGAAAAGAATTAATAGAACAAACTAAGCACCAAAGGCAGTGGTTCCTTCTAGAATTGCTGATTCCTTCCAAGTCATAAAGAACAGCCCCTTGTTGGAGTGGCTTATCAGGCCCCTATACAAAGAAGGAAGTCCCAAGGAAGGGCCTAGCACTGAAGACAGAACTGGCAAACAAAAGCTTAAAAGGCCCATATGAGCACTTCCTGGTGTCCCTTTAACACAGCTGACTGGGTCCTGCCAGGAGAGAAGATGGGCAATCTCAGCCAGTTATCCTCTGGAGAAGACAAGTGGCTGCTTTGGAAGAAGACCCAGGAAGTATTACTTAATTAACCTCTACAGGAGAAACATAACTTCCCCCGAGACCATTACCACCTCCCTGCAGTTTGTGATCTCTTTGCCTGTATGTAGCTTAAAGTTGATAAAGATAAGTGGTTATATCAAACTCCTCTACAGATGTGAAGGATTGGACAAGAGTTGAGCAGCCTTTCTGCCTATTATCACACATCATGAGCTAAGTGACCGCGGCTTGCCAAATCATTGTGTTTCTGGGTCTGACCAGTTAGCTTAGTTCTTCTCCTGCCTAATTTTGAACTAGTAAAGCAAAATGAGTCATCAGATTATGAGTTATTGTTTAAAAGAAAAATGCTGTTTATTGATGCTGAGGTGATTCAGTTCCTTCCTCCTTACAGAAGTATTAATTCACCCACACACTAGAAATGCAGCATCTTTGTGGATATGTCTTTTTCACAAGCCTCCAAGTCTCCTTAGATTGGGTTGTTACTAAAAGTACATTAAAACACTCTAGTTTTAAAAATGAAATATTTCTCTAATCAAAGTGTATTGATGTATTCTAAAGATAGTAAATTCCCTAACATTTAATTGCCCTATAGATGCTTCTCTTGCTGTGGGTTTTCTTCTGTTAGTGGTCTGAAATAATGATTTTCCTGTTCTATTAATATATAGTGTATTTTGCACAAAAAATTAACCTGCCCAATGGTGGTTACCAAAATATATATTAATAATCTTGGCAATTTTTGACATTAATTACCAAACATTTTAGCCTACATGTTAGTTCTACATTATTACTTTTCACTTGAAAGGAACTCAGCTACTACAAATTTTGTCTTTCTTTCTTTCCATAAATGTTATTTAAAAATGCAGTGAGCTCTTTTAAAAGGGCTCGGTATTATTTCAACACTATTTTTGAGGTAGTTCTAACCTTTTAAAATATTCTACAGCCCAGCCAGGTGTGGTGGCTCACCCCTGTAATTCCAGCACTTTGGGAGGCCGAGGCAGGTGGATCACGAGGTCAAAAGTTCAAGACCAGCCTGGCCAAGATGGCGAAACCCCATCTCTACTAAAAATACAAAAATTAGCTGGGTGCAGTGGCAGGTGCCTGTAATCCCAGCCACTCCGGAGGCTGAGGCAGGAGAATCGCTTGAACCCTGGGGGCGGAGGTTGCAGTGAGCCAAGATTGCGCCACTGCACTCCAGCCTGGGTGACAGAGTGAGACTCTGTCTCAAAAAAAAAAAAAAAAAATTCAGACCCACAGAGTTTAAAAGAACCCCAATACTGACTAAGCAAATAGGCAAAAGACCTATTGGAAATAGTACTTGAACGATTCACTATCATAGGGATTATTGGTGCATCCTGTGTAAATGGAAGCTGAGCTTGACACCCGGTGCTTTAAACTAGGGATAAAGTCGTCCTCTCACTGCAAGCACAGCATACCTGTATCTCCAAAAGTGATGTTCTAGTGAACAGGCCGTTTTCAACACTTGTGCCTTGGGGTGTTCATTGAAGCTTTATGAAAACTACTGATGTTTTCTCAATCTCCTTAAAGTTATGTCCATGCTTTAAAATGTCTCTGTAGGAGAGAAGTGGAGTTTATGTTTTTAAATTCTCTAAGATATCTTTACTGCTTTCCAGACTTTGAAACTATTAAGCTTCTTAACTGCCTGTTATTGAAAATACTTCTACGGAAACTTCATGGTCCCACAATGTCATTGCCATACAGCTTCACTAGAGTTCTTTGAACCACAGCTGAAAAGAGCTTTGTCTTATTTTTTAATTCCCTCCCCAGATATCATTTAGAAGTATCATAATAAAGGTGGTGAGCAAAAACAACGTAAAGAGCCTTTCCAGTTATGTTAAGTTGCAGCTAACTCTCTACTTTCTTTTCTGAGGCCAAACACACTGTACTTTACATTGTCAAGATATAATTTACATTAATCACTATGTCTATGAGTATGTAAAACATCTTTTGCATTGATGAATTTTGTACATGCCACCATTAAAAGCATAACAGCCATTAAAAAAAGATACAAAAAATTAGCCAGGCGTGGTGGTGCATGTCTGTAATCCCAGCTACTCAGGAGGCTGAGGCAGGAGAATCACTTGAACCCAGGAGGCGGAGGTGGCAGTGAGCCGAAATCATGCCATTGTACTCCAGCAGGGCAGTGACAGAGCGAGACTCCGTCTTAAAAAAAAATAAAAAGAAAAAAGAAAAGAAAAAATTTCTTTTAGAGAGGGGGTCTTACCATGTTGCCCAGGCCGGAGCAAAGTGGGTATTCACAGATGTAATCATAGTGCACTACAGCCTCAAACTCCTGGATTCAAGGATCCTTCCACCCCAGCCTCCCAAGTAGCTGGAATCATAGGTGCTTACTACTACACCCTGCTCATTTTTTAATTGGGTTATCTTTTTATTATTGTAATAATTTATTATTTTATTATAAGAGTTCTGTATTCTAGATACGTTACTTATCAGATATATTAGTTTTAAATTTTTTCTTCTTCTTCTTCTTCTTTTTTTTTTTTTTTTTTTTTTTTTGAGACAGAGTCTTGCTCTGTCACCCAGGCTGGATTGCAGTGCATGATCTTGGCTCACTGCAGCATCTGCCTCCTGAGATTTTCTGAGTGATTCTCCTGCCTCAGCCTCCCGAGTAGCTAGGACTACAGACATGAACCACCATGCCTGGTTAATTTTTGTATTTTTAGTAGAGATGGGCTTTCACCCTGTTGGCCAGGCTCGTCTCAAACACCTGGCCTCAAGTGATCCACCTGCCTCAGCCTCTCAAAGTGCTGGGATTACAGGTGTGAGCCACTGCTCCCGGCAATCTTTATTTATTTTTTTGAGACAGAATCTTGCTGTCACCCCAGCTGGAGTTGCAGTGGCATGATCACGGCTTACTGCAGCCTCAAACTCCTGAGCTCAAGTGATCCTCCCATCTCAGCCTGCTGAGTAACTTGGGCCACAGGCACGCACCACCATGCCTAGCTAATTTTTTATTTTTTGTAGAGACGGGGTCTCACTACTTTGGGTTATCTTTTTGCTGTTTTCATGGTGTCCTGTGAAACACAAAAGTTTTTAATTTTGGTGAAATCCAATTCATCTACCTTTTGTTTTGTTTTGTTTTGTTTTTTGAGTTAGCGTTTATCTCTTGTTGCCCAGGCTGGAGTGCAGTGGCGGGATCTTGGCTCACCGCAAACTCTGCCCCCTGGGTTCAAGTGATTCTTCTGCCTCAGCCTCCCAAGTAGCTGGGATTACAGGCATGCACCACCACGCCTGGCTAATTTTGTATTTTTAGTAGAGATGGGGTTTCTCCATGTTAATCAGGCTGGTCTCGAACTCCCAACCTCAGGTGATCCGCCTGCCTCTGCCTCCCAAAATGCTGGGATTACAGGAGTGAGCCACTGCCCCCAGCCTACTTTTTCTTTTGTTATTTGTCCTTTTGGTACCATATCTAAGAAAATCTTGCCTGAGCAAGTCACAAAGATTTATGCCCATGTCTTTTTCTAAGAGTGTAAATAGTTCTAGCTCTTATATTTAGGTATTTGATCCATTTCGAGTTCTTTTTTATATGGTGTGAGATAGGAATTCACATTTATTCTTTTCCATGTACATATTCAGTTGTCCCAGCACCATTTGTCGGAAAGACTATTCTTTTTCACATTAAATTATTTTGGCACCCTTGTTGAAAATAAAAATCAACTGTGACAGGGCCAGGCATGTTGGCTTATGCCTGTAACCCCAGCACTTTGAGAGGCCAAGGTGGCAGATCACTTGAGGTCAGGAGTTTGAGACCAGCCTGACCAACATGGTGAAACCCCATCTCTACTAAAAATACAAAAATTAGCCTGATGTGGTGGCACACGTCTGTATTCCCAGCTACTCGGGAGGCTGAGCCAGGAGAATCACTTGAACCTGGGAGGCGGAGTTAGCAGTGAGGCAAGATCACATCACTGCACTCCAGCCTGGGCAACAGAGTGAGACTCCCGCTTAAAAAAAAGAAAAAAAATCAACTGACTGTAAATGTGAGAGTTTATTTCTGGATTCTGAATTCTTTTCCACTAATCTATATGTCTTTTTTTTTTTTTTTTTTTTTGACAGAATCTCTGTTGCCCAGGCTGGAGTGCAGGGGCACTGTGTCAGATCACTGCAACCTCTGTCTCCTGGGTTCAAGCAATTCTCCTGCCTCAGCCTCCTGAATAGCTGG